>NC_000010.11:14252424-14403939 GCF_000001405.40 Homo sapiens
TCTCTTTAGTAACAGTTCTTGACTCTTTTTGGGGTACTTTATGATATTGATATTTCTGAAGAGCATAGGCCAAGCATTTTGGAGAATATGCCTCAATTTGGGGTTGTCCAGTGTTTCCTCAGAATTAGATTCAGGTTATGGCCCTTGGGCAGGAGTACACTCTGGAAATGATGGTGAGTTCTCAGGTCACTCATATCAGGTGGCCCATGCTGTTGATTCATGCCATTTCTGGCAATGTTAACTTTGATCATTGGTTAAGGTGGTATATGCCACATATCTCTACCATAATATTAGTTTTTATCCTTTCTAACAAGAAGTGCCTTAAGGGGATATACTTTGAGACCATGTAAATATTATTTTATTCCTCAAACTTTGATCCACTATGTTAGAACCAATTATTACTATGATGGTTAGCAAATGGTATTTTTCTAATTCCATCATTCATTCTATATTTATCTGTTAGTATTCTACTAACTATAAGGAAAAGCTTTCCCTTCTTCTCCATTCATTCATTCATTTATTCTTTCTTCATTCATTTATATCAGTGTAGACTCATGGACTCCCACCTTATTAGATAAGTTATAACCTTTTATTATACATAATTTACATTAAACCCAAATATAAATCTGAATAGCTTTAAGTCAAATAGATTCTTTTGACATTTATTGACCAAGAAAAGATATATTTATGTCTAAAAGACACAGGTATATTTTCTTTTATTAGAGCAGAGATTTTGCTTATGTTAAAAACTGTTGTTTGTTTTTGTCCATGCTCTGGTCAAGGTTAGCACCGCTGAAGACCGAGAAACTGTGTTTGTATCATTATTAATCATCCCTGCAGAATCTGACAGTGAGAAACTCCAAGATAAATAGTGAATTCCTCTCCTATGAATTTAAGAAACCTGGTTTTATCCCCATATTTTGCCAGCAGCTTAGCAAAGAATTCCCACGTGACTAACTTTTCATATAGGTTTTTTTGTGCAAGTGTAATTGCTATAGCAAGTGGACTGATTTCACAGGGTGGAATATGGGAAACCAACTTTTTTTTGAAAACCACTTTCTTTATATGAATTCTATCTAATTCTTTATCACTGTCCTGGACAGATCGTTATAGCTTTAGTAATTCTTTCTGGTATCAGAAGAACTTCATTACAAAGCACCCAAAAATCCTGCTTAATAGAAATAAATGCTTCAATTGCTCATTCACTTAAAACTCTCCCCTTACCCAGCTCTGGATAAAGATTCTTCACTGGAGTGTGGCAGTGACAGGCAGAGGGAATAGAGAACATGGTCCATTTGCTCTTCCTTCACCTTGTTCTTCTTTTCCTTCTCCCTCCTCTTATTGTTTTGCTCTTGGTTTCTCTAGGACCAAGGACGGGGTGAAGTGTTGAGTGGGGAAGCTCGCTGAGACAGCAAGAATCTTGCTTGGCAGGTAATGTTGTAATTTGGTTTATGAATCCTCTGTGGGTCAGTTGTGCAAATGCCAGCTTTCTCTCTCTCTCACAGGTCCCAGGAGAGACCTTTCGACACCTCCAGCTTGCAGTTCCCCTCTGCAGACGATACACTTTCTCACTAACCTCTCATGACTCTCCCTACGCTAGTTTCCTCTGTTGGCTTCTGTGATGCTCACTGGCTCAAGGGAAAATGCTATGTCTTTGCCCTTAAACTCTGGAGGTACAGGCCACCCCTCCCCACCTCAGCCCTCCATTGAACTCCAATCAGCATTTCACCCCTAGACATTCTTCCAAGTAAAAATCCATGGAACATGATGGCACCTTCCTCCTACTTCAACTCCAGGAACCAAGGTCAATTTCTTCCAGAAACTCATCACTATACACCCTTAGGTGGGCCTATAGGATTTCTCCGGTTCTGTATGCATCTATTGAGGATGATATGTCAGGTTCTCTTTCTGGAAAGTAACCATACTCTCTACGAGTAATTCTTTTTAAATGTCGTTTGCTTTGTCTGAGGTGGAAGAAGGACATCCTTCAGAAGGGAGAACACAGGACACCCTGACAACTCTCTCCAAGGAAATCTTGGCTCTTCCTCACCAGCACAATCTCTCCTCTTATGTATTGGGCTTGAAGTGGGAGCCAGCTAATGCTGGAAGATCCAGTTTGGATCACATGTTTTCCTGTGGATACGCCTAGCACCTTTCTTTACAATGTGGGGTTCTTGCCAACTTCTTAACCTCAAATATTTTTAAAAGCCTAGTATTTGCAAAAGAAATGCCTTGCAAGTTGTATTACTTCTCATCTATCATAAAAATAACAGATGAGAAGTAATACAATTTTCAAAGCATTTCTTTTGCAAATATTAGGCTTTTAATGTGCACATGTACCCTAAAACTTAAAGTATAATAATAATAAAATCGAAAAAAAATAATAGCCTAGGTTTTAAGGGGAAGAGTAGATAAGGTAGTAATGCAGGAAGAGCTTGTACAAATGTTCAAGAAAAATTCCTCTTTCCATAAAGTCTTCTGAGACTTGAGGGAGAATTCCAGTCAATCAATCCCAGTCCCTAAAGTCTTAACTTAATTTGCCTCCAGACTGCTCAACTTCCTATTAAGAATGGCATCTGGCTTGTAACCCATCAAGCAAACTCTACCAGCTTTCCACTGAAATGCCTGTGGAGTAGGAGAAAAGGTTAAGAATGTGCAACCGTCTCAAAATCAGCAGTGGCTATCTGTTGGTTGCTAAAATCTGGAAGAATTTCCATTACCTGCAAAAATGATAGAAAATGCCAGCAAATGAACTAAACCATCTGCTAAAAGGTGAAAGAAAAATCATTCCTCCCTCTCCTATTGTCTTCTTTCTCTGCTTATAAATCTGGACCAAGCTGAAAGCCAGACAACTTCCTCTGTTGCCTCGTTGCTGCCTTCTAACATAGCCACAGTGCTACCCATATCAGCTGTCTTCCACATGTGGACAGAGTAATTCTCAGGAAAACATACGAGGCATGAACTAGGATAGAAACTGGTAACAGGACATTATATTAAAATATGGTATCAAAAGGGAAGACCTGTAGATGGGGACACAAGAAGAGCCCTGGTTGCACCGCATACTTGGAATTGTACATTTTAATGCACCACGATGTTCAGAGTTTCAGAGACCAATGCAGCAAGGGCAGGAGACAATCAGATGAGCACAATTGCCCTTGCCAGATGCTGAGAATTAAGCTATGGCGGAAGACATAAACCTGCCCTCGAACTGCAGCTGTGAAAAAGAGATTAGTCCAGCCACCAGAAAACAAGTCATTGAAAAGACTAGAAGAAAAAAATTGAGTTTAAATTTTGGTTGCCAGGCTGGGCGGTGGCTCATGTCTGTAATCCCAGCACACTGCGAGGCCGAGGCAGGTGGATCACTTGAGGTCAAGAGTTCAAGACCAGCCTGACCAACATGGTGAAATCCAGTCTTTGCTAAAAGTACAAAAATTAGCCGGGTGTGGTGGCCTGCACCTTTAATCTCAGCTACTCAGGAGGCTGAGGCACAAGAATCACTTGAACCGAGAATGCAGAGGTTGCAGTGAATCAAAATCACGCCACTGCACTCCACCCTGGGTGACAAAGCAAGCCTCCATCTCAAAAAAAAAAAAAAAAAATTTGTTGCCAAAAGGAAATAAAACAATTTTTTAAACTACAGAATTAATAAGCAATTTTAGTAACTGACTAGAAAAAGGACAAATGTACCAAAAACATTTATGTTCCTATCTACCAGCAAAAACTGATTTTTAAAATATAATAGGAAAATATTTATAATAGACGGCAATAATTGAAAAATATCTAAGAATGCATTGCTAAGAAGAAATATGTAATAGAAACCCAGATGATGAAAACTATAAAGCTTTAATGAAAGATATAAAAGACTTACAAAAAAGAAGTTCTATACAAATTTCTCTATGGCATGACTGTAATTCAAAAAGTGACAGTTCTCCCCCAAATCATGCATTGGTAAAATGCTATTCCACTAGAAATTACAATGGACTGGACTCTAATAATTTCAAAATAATTATTTTAAAACCCATCTTGAAGAATAAGCAGAGAAAAAATGAAAAGTGATGGAAAATTTTTCTAAATTTTTCATGGCAATTATAATGTTATAAAGAATATAAGAGTGTAGTGTTGCTACAAATCTCAAAAGAGTAATAGAATAAAATGGTCATTGAATTGGCCCTAACATACATGCTTATAAAACCTTATTATATTGTAAAGGAAATAACACAAAAAAGTGCATGAGAGAAATTATTCCACAAACGGAATTTTTGTTAAAGTATATGTGGGCTGGGTGCAGTGGATCATGCCTATAATCCCAACACTTTGTGTGGCCAAGGTATAAGGATTGCTTGAGGCCAGAAGTTTGAGACCAGCCTGGGCCACACAGCGAGACTCTGTCTCTTCAAAAAATTTTTTAAAATAAAAATAAAAAATAAATGTATATGTAATAACATATACATACTTACATGAAGTTTAAACATGCATGCATGTATAGAGCAATTTAAGAAAATAAAATAAATACTAGGCAGTAGGAGAAGAAAGGGATATTGTTTATTTGGGGAAAAAAATTTATAGTGTAACCAGATACCATACTCCAAAATTTACTCTAGATTTTTGAAAGTTAATTAACTGGCTGGGTGTAGTGGCTCACACCTGTAATCCCGGCACTTTGGGAGGCCAAGGATGGGATGGATCACTTGAGATAAGGAGTTCGAGACCAGCCTGGCCAACCTGGTGAAACCCCACCTCTACTAAAAATACAAAAATTAGCTGGGCGTGGTGGCCAGTGCCCATAATCCCAGCTAACCAGGAGGCTGAGGCACAACAATCACTTGAACCCAAGAGGTGGAGGTTGCAGTGAGCCGAGATCGTGCCACCACACTCCAGCCTGGGTGACAGAGCAAGACCCTGTCTCAAATAAAAAGAAAGTTAACAAACTGGAACAAAGCAGAGGTTAATATATAAACTGATCTCAGTATGAACAAGGACCTTAAAAAAATAAAAGCAATGAACCAAATCACAGAGTATAAGCTATGTATATGGTCAGTGGATTTTTAGCAAAGGTGTGCAAGTAATTTTTGTATTGAGTTGAATGGTATCCCCTCGAAAATGCATGTGTACCTGGTGCCTTACAATGTGATCTTATTTAAAAACTGGATATTTGCAGGTGTAATTAGTTAAGATGAGGTCATATTGGATTTAGTGTGGGCCCTAATCCAATGACTGGTGTCCTTACAAGAAAACAGAGACACGGAAACATACACAGAGGAAAGGCTGTCATGTGAAGATGGAAGCAGAAATTGGAGTGATGTGCCTGCAAGCCAAAGCACTGCTTAGGAGTGCCACCCGCCACCAGAAGCTAGAAGAGAAAAGAAAGCATCCAAACCTAGAGTCTTCAGAGAGCTTGGCCTTGCCAACTTGATTTCAGACTTCCAGCTTCCAGAACTGTAAGAAAACAACTGTCTGCTGTGTAAAGCCACCCAGTTTGTGGTCATCTGCTAAAACAGCCTTTGAAAACTAATACAAGGTGCAATGGAGAAAGGAAATCTTTTTTATATATGCTGCTAATATTGGATAGCCAGACACAAAGGTAAAACTTGACTATTATCTTACACTATATATAAAAATTAACTCAAAACGTGTCATATTCTGGAACACTTTTAGAATACAATGAAGATAAAAATCTTAGTGACCTTGGGTTTGGAAAAGATTTCTAAAATAGGACACAAGAGCACAGACACTAAAAAAAGAAATACATTTTACTTCAAAAAATATAGAACTTATACTCTTCAAAAAAGAAGAGTATTATATTACATAATATTATTTATTATATTACATAATAAAAGGCAAGTCACAGACTGGGAGAAAATATTTATAAAATGTATATTTGATAAAGGGGTTTTAACTAAAAAAAAAAAGAACTCTCAAAATTATATAATAAGACAAACAACCCAAACAAAAAAATGAACAGATGATTTTAACAGACATTTCATCAAAGCAGATACAAGGATGGCAAATAAGCACATGAAAAAATCCTCAGCACCACGCATTATTAGGAAAAAGCAAATTAAATTCACAATGAAATACTACCACACATCTATCCGAATTGTTAAAGTTGAACAAACTGATCATACCTAGCGTTGGTGATTATGTGGAGAAACTGGAACGCTCATGCACCACAGGTGAAAATGTAAAATGGTACAGTAACATTGGAAAACAGTTGGGTAGATGACCCAATCATTTTATACCTAGGTATTTACTTAAAAATGAAAGCTCATGTTCACACAAAGACTTGAGCAGAAACGTTCATAGTTGTTTTATTTGTGATAGCCAAAAATCAGAAAACAACTCAAATTTCCACCAATGGTTGAACAGATAAACAAAACCATGCAAGGAAATACTACTTAGCCATAAAAATAAATATTGACACATGTGACAATATGGATGAATTTCAAAATAATTATGCTGAATGAAAGAAGTCAGCAAAAAAGAGTACATGTTGCATGAATCTATTCATAAAAATATTAAGTAGTGGAAACTACTGTATAAAATCAGAAATCAGATCAGCAGTTACTGGGGATGGTGAGGGGTGTGAGGGAGGGATTACAAAGGGGGCAAAAGGAAATTTCTTGGAACAAGGGATATGTTCACTTTTATTATTATAGTGATGGTCTAATACATATGCCAAAACTCTTCAAAAACTGTATACTTTAAAAATGTTCAGTTTACTATACATTAATTATGCCTTGACAAACCTGTAAACAGTAACAGAATCATAAAAAGGTAAATGGCAAACAATAAGAAGTACTTGTAATAAGAATGACATGTAAATGGTAATTTACCTAATGTAAAAAGTGGCCTCACAAATTCATAAGAATACAAAACCATCTCAAAAAAGTTAAAAGTGTAAACACACCATTCACTATTGAAGAATATACAAATCTTTAATAATTATATTACTGAAATAAATATTATTTAAACCAATGATTTTCCTGTCAGTTCTCATTTATAAAAATGGCATTTTTTCAATTTTAATAATAAATGCTGATGATGCAGTGAGATCAGTATTCATACTCCTGCAAATGTAATATGATTCAAAAAGCTACTCAGGGAAGCCATCTGCCAATATCATTAAAATCTTCATACCTCTAGGTATTGAAATCTGGGGCTATTTTAACTTTTTTCTTTATAATTTCTTCTATTTACTTTTTAAACATCAACCACAAATTTTTTAGTCAGAGAAAATATTCTTTAAAAAGAAAATGTTTGACTTCACTTCATTTTGCAAATTTACATGCACAAAGAGTTGGTTGCACCTTCCAGGTCTCCTTCTCTATTGACTGCTATTTTTCCATGCAGGGTAAGGGACACGGCTCATTGTCATCATGGAATCCTCTTTGCCATGGCTGTTAGGATGGACACCATGACAACCACATTGCCCACAGCTACATGGCTCCAGCTGTTTCTCTCACTTATGCCTCTACCTCTTCCTAACACCATGGAGACTGTTGTCAGGGATGTTAAGTCTTTGAGGAATGCAATACTCACGTCTTCAGAAAAAAAGAATCTCTAAGGATCTCTGTGTCATAGATATAGTCTAGAAATGGCAAAAAAAAAAAAAAAAATCCCATCTCCTTTTTTATTTTTTGGCAGCTAACCCAGACTTAAAGGGAAGGCTATCACTTGACATTGTGCAGGAGGGAGAACATCGTGGAAAGAAGAAGACATGATGTGTGCCAGAGCCCTCGGCAGGTGCAGTTTGGCTCCAGACCCCAGCATGCCATGATCCAGCTTACAACCGCTGCATTCTCTCCCTTTTGTACTGCACGGACTCTCATGTGCTTTAAGAGGAATTGGAGTTTGGCATGAGGATCTATTTATCCTTGAGTAAACTAGCAGAGTTTTAGTTCCCACAAGCAAAACTATCCAGCAGAGAAAGACTGTCCAGTCTGCAAATATTGACACCACATGGTGGCTGTGTCAACAGGTCAAGCCACAGAACAGCTGCAATGATGCAGAGAAGGCATGAAATGTCCTCTCGGGCTCAGGGTTCACACACAGACCCAATCAAAGGCATATAAGTCATCCTACATGCTCATTAAATCACAAGTAAAGAGTGTTTCCTTTCATGGCATGGCACCTCAAGGACAGGGTTGAATAATTTTTAAGATTATAACTGAAGCCTGAGCAATCACAATTCAAAGCACATTCTGATCTTCACCACTTCAAATTGGGCCACTCCTGGCTATCTCCCATCAGTAGACGAAAATATTCACAACCACACAGCCAGAACCTTTGCCTTTGTTCTTAATAGAAACACCCAGAGATGATGAAACAGGAATTTTGTTAAGGCAAACTATTTCCTTAACTATAAAAGTGTATTAAAAATAAAACATGAATATGGGTAAAAACCTGGATGCTTCCCCAAGGACCAAAGCAAACAGAGTGGCATAAAATTCAGAATGTTGGATTCTGAGTAGACACCTGGGGTCAGGCTTGGCCACTAACTCCATTGGGCACATTGTCCACCTCCATGGGTCTTAGTTTTTTCTCTGGTAAAATGAGTGTGTGGAGGTGATCTCTAAAATCTTTGTACCTAAGCATCTAGGGGGAATTCACATACAAAATGGGATCTGGTCAATAAACATATGGGACTGAGAGGAGTTAGAGTCTGGCTTTGAGCCATAAAGCAGTCTATGGTGTCTTTGATCCAGGTAGTACCCAATCCTTCCTTCCCTGGGGCAGTTCGCCTCATGGTTCAGCCTTGGAGAGAGTGGCTGCGTGGAACCATGATTTAGGAGGATGTCAAAACATCATGATTAAACATTTGCAAATATGATCACCATTATATTTGCTTATGTGCTTGATTATAAATTTCCTATACATGATGGGTTAAATAGCTATTTGGAGAGTGAATTAATTAATGAGTGAATGAATGAAGTGTGCAGAATTCCGTGGGCCATGTTTTAATGTAACTAATCTGACTGCTGTTGTCTACTTGGGTATTCAGTTTTCCTGAACTGAAAACTGACCTGCTCACCAATGGCTCTAACGCTTCTTCTTCTCTGAGGACTCAAATTAAAGCTGCCACTTCTGTCATGAAACAGCTCTCAGAGAAGCAACTTCCCAACAGCTGCTATTCTCCAATAAATGGTCTTCCAGGGAATATGCCATTGCAATGCCAACCTATCTGATTTCAACCTGGTCTCTACAACCCTGAGGGAGGGAGGCAGTGGGCATCAGCCTAGAGAAGACCTGGGCTCTCATTCCAGCTCTGCCTGTGGTTAGTTATGCAGCTTTTGGTCCATTGTTTAATTTCTCTGGACCTTAGTGTCTTTGTCTATAACCTGAGAGGGAGAGACAGGAGGGATCGTTTTTTCCTCCTAACACTAACGTAGAAACTGTAAAGGTCTCTTAATACTTACTCTAGGTTCTTTGGTGCCAATCTGTGTCTAAAACGTAATAACTTAGGTGCTCCAACCCAGCCTCTGTTATTTCAATGTGACTCCATTTCTCACCACACCAAACACACACACACACACACACACACACACACACACACACACACACACCTCATTTTCCCTAGTTCCCCTCTCTCTGCTTCTCTGTCTCCCTCTCCACCTCTCTTTACCTGTCTTCAGCATACTTCCTCTCCCTCTGTGCAATTCCAAAATTTGAAGAGCAATCTTTGATTGATAAATGTAAAGAGTTCGGGGAAAACCCATCTTCGAGCGGCAAAACCACCACTGCAGAGAGATTTCACATTTCAGTCCCTGCCTTTCTCCAAATTTCTATATGAAAACTGAGCTAAGAGATCACTTTCCATTACCTACTTAGCCCGGTTATCTCTTCTCTTGGCCCCTGATGCTAACTAGGTAACCCTGGGTGAGTTACCCACCATCTCTGAATCCTGGTTCTGTACCATGGGGATGGCGATGCCAACTTCATGAGGTTATTGTGCATGTTAAAATTCCAGGGCTTGGCAAAGGGTAAATTCTTGCTAATTATTATATAGAAATATTAGTAATGATATTCATGACCTCTCTTGTGTGTCGAGGCTTATCTAGAAGGCACTGGAATGCAAGTATATATGGTTCTGTCAGCTCAGTCTGGCTGGCATAAGTCCAGAACTGGGTCTTCTCCTTCCTGGGGCTAAACTGCGCTCACCTCATTCTCCTGACTCAGTCCCTTGCCAGAGCTCATGAGTTAAAGACACACAAAAGGCTCCTGGGTGGTGAGGAGCAGAAAGAATTTGAAATGAGCTTCTTTTCTTCTTGCAGAGCTTCCGAGACAAATTATAAAGCTCCAGTAATGGGGAAAAACACAGAAAGAACTCCTTAGACCTGAGAGTGGTCATCTTGGGGGCCTCAGACCACCATGCTGGTTCATGAGGATGTAGGTGCACTCAGCATCAGCACAATGTAAGTCTATCTTAAAGCACATTTTCTTTTACAAGTAAATTAAACAAGTCAGCATACTGAATAGTTCTCCTACTCGCCAGGAAAACCAGAGGGCAAGCCATGAAAGAAGCAAACAACAAATGCAGCCCGTGCTGTTCTCATTCTGTCTGTCAGTGCAGGCGAGAGGGGGAAATACACCAGGTCAGTGTTCCCCTGGCCAGGATCCTTTCCCATCCTTGCTCAGAAATTTTCTTTCAGGACAAATGGCCTACGGAGAGGACCCGTGTGCGATATTCCAATGACAGTTTTAATGGAAATACAGCCATAAGGTTTGGACTGACTTGATTCTAGAAAGCAGGAAACAAATGCCCACTTTTAGGAGCTGGCATGACAGCCCGGTGGCCCAGCTTGGTTCCCTCCCCGCCAGCCCCGTCTGGGTGAAGCTCCTGCTTCGTAGAGCTCAGGCCTCTGCACAGAAACAGGGCATATGGCTTTGACTTCAGCCAGCGCAGGAGGGGGAAGGGGACGGGCCCCATAAATCACTTGCAAGGCTGCCGGCCAGACATGCTGCTAAGAATCACCCCAAATTTCCGTCGTCTTCCTTTGTTTAGGGAACTGTTTTTTTAATTTCAAGAAGTGCATCCATTCCACGTGCTCTGAGACCTCAAAATATCAACATTGCTCATTGTCAATTGCCTTCACCCCTCACTAGAAAGTTACCCTTGCCCACGATCAGCTCTGAGTCTCCTGAATCTCTTCTCCCATCACAAACTGACTGTCCTGTGCCCCAGAAAGATGCTGCTGGGACTGTAATAGAGGTGAAGCCATCAAGGATGGAAACTTTGGATCCCAGAGGTGGGCCCTCTAAGCTCCTTCGTGTTGCAGGGTTAGGGCACAAGCAGGGTACTGACAATGTTCAAGGAGGCCCCTGGAGTCGCCAGAAGATAACTATCAGGTTCTCGGTTTTCACTGCGACTGGCGCCCACCCTTGATAAACCAAAGGCAAACCCAATTGAGGCATTCCAGCAGCCAGGTCAGTTGTCAGCAAAGGCATCACAGAGGAAGGCATTTGGGGTAGATTGGAACTGGGGAATAAGCAGTCAATGGGAATCGAAAGGAAGTAGCCAGTGGAAGCAGCCCCAAGCTCTTCTCCAGTGAGCGAGCATTGCACCAACCACAAAGAGCTGCTGCATTAATTACATGTCTCCTTGCTAAGATTCGCTCCCAGAGTGTCTACGAAAACTAATGACTGCAATCACAGCATCTCTCAAGAACTTTTCACCTGCCAAGCGCTTTACAAGATTACCTCATTAATCCACTCTGCCCTCCTATGAAGCTGGTAATTATCATTATGCCCAGTTCAGAGATGGGGCAACTGGGCAGACATGAAGCAACCGCCTGAAATCCCTGGGCACATCACAGCCCACAAAGCAGAGCACAGGTCTTTGAGCCGTCTTATTTCTGTTTTATCTTTTATCCCAGGTTCCCCATTGATACAAGCAGCCCAGAAGAGGGTAGAAAATAGATGAGGTGGATCTTAATTCCATGCAACCGCTGATTAATTTCCTTTTAAAGCCATCATTCTAAAAACAACAACAACAACAAAAGTGACTGTTTTATAAATGAGGTATTGCTGGACTCTAGCCAATGACCCATTTATTGCCAAAACAATGCATTAATTCAATCAACAGATACTTATCAAATACCTCCCATATTTCAAACACTATACCATGTACTGTATACAGTGCTAACTTAGTGTAAAAAATAATATGGATGCACGTTCGATTTTGTTGTAATATTATTTAACCCAAATATAGGGAATTCCTACAGACTATTTAATTAAAATATCTATTGTTTTAAAATTCCCTTTGACCCTAACTTTTGCTTCCTCTAGATTTCATTGATACAAGAAAGAACTAATTTTTTAACACTGTAATCCATTAACATTATCCCAAGTCTTGGAAAAGAAACACTTTTTTTTTTTTAGACGAAGTCTTGCTCTGTTGCCCAGGCTGGAGTGCAGTGGCAAGATCGCGGCTCACTGCAATCTCCGCCTCCTGGGTTCCAGCGACTCTCCTGCTTCAGCCTCCTGAGTAGCTGGGACTACAGGTGCTCACCACCATGCCTGGCTAATTTTTGTATTTTTTAGTAGAGACGGGGGTTTCACCATATTGGCCAGGCTGGTCTCGAACTCCTGACCTCGTGATCCGCAAGCCTCGGCCTCCCAAAGTGCTGGGATTACAGGCGTGAGCCACTGAGCCTGGCCTAAGAAACATTACTTTTGCCCATTAATGGCTCTGAACTTTTTCTGCAGTGACTTCCATTAACTGATAGAATAAGTAGGTGTTTCTCCTCTTAGTACCCAACGTAGAGCAGGCAGCCTTCCTCGTGCCAAGGTGATAGGACAACCTAGAGTGTCAAAGATTTAGGATGTTAATTTTCATTATTATCATGGTCCTTTTTTTAAAACCTTTCCTTCAATGCCCTCAGTTTAAGGTTCTGTGAGATGAAAATGAGTTGATGTTTCATCCTTGGCTATGTCTCTAGGATCATAGTAACAAGATTTTTGTTTTGGTTTGTTTTGTAACCTGAAAGTTTCCATAAAGATCCAAGGCTGACACCTTTGTATTTATGTGATATTAAATATATGCTATTACTTCTTGGCTTAAAATTTTAAAAAGTAAATCATATGAATTTTGAAACAAGGACCCATGTACACAATTTGTAGAGGTTAGAAACTATAAGAATATAGCTTTCAAAAACTCAGTGCATTCTGAGGGTAGAAAAGCAAAACTGACGATTTCTCTAGTGATTTCTGATTATCCCAACTGGGATTAAAACCAAGTGGCCCATGTATCAACATGAGAAGGATAGAGGAATGGTTCTAGGTCATAGGATGCAGCTATGGAATTCTAGGAAATAGAGATAGTTCAGATCTGCATATTAAAATCCCAAATCAGTTCCTTCCAGAAGGGTCGGGAATGTGACTGCCCCTGTATGTACTGTTGGTTGCCAGAGCAGCTGGGAAGGGAGAGGGAACCATTTATCATAAATCCCTCCTGGGGTGCCTCATCACACCCTCTTTGTGTTGGGCAAATGCTTCACCTCTATAAGCGCAAAGGCATGGTAAAGACCTTATCACATAGAGTCATGAAGAATGAATGATCAAGGTGTCAATTGGGCCAAAATCTGCAGTTTAAAGGAGGAAGACTCAAGACTTGGAAGCAACAAACATAAATACTGCTGGGCCACTGGAACCAGTGAACTGAACGGGTGTGGGTTTCGAGCAGCTTTCCCAACCTCGGCACTGCTGACTTTCTGGACTGGTGAATTCTTTGTCCTGGGGGTGGGAGGGGGTGGGGCTTTCCCGTGCATTGTAGGATGTTAAGCAGCATACCTCATCTCTACCGACTAAAAGCCAATAGTGCCCCCGAATTGTGACAACCAAAAATCTCTCCAGTCAATGACAAATGTCCTGGGGCTGGGAAGAGGGAACAAAATAGCCCCCAATTAAGAACCACTGTTTATCCCCCAAGTACTTTTTCCCAAAGTTAGATAAAGTTTGGGGAGATGCTTTAAGATTATAAATAATATTTTCTGTTACAGTGCCATTGAACTACTAGATGAAGTAAATCTCATTTCTGCTTCATTTGATGCTTAGGATCCCTAGTAGATGTTGTGCTCTGTGTGTGTGTGTGTGTGTGTGTGTATGTGTGTGGCTATGTAGGGTTGTTTCACACAAACACTCAGAAAAACATAAAGCAGAAAAATCTGTTTGAAAAATGTTTCCCCAAAAGATTCATGATATAAAGAGAACACATTCATAAAATAAAGTTTTAAAAATGGGAGGAGAAAAAATCATGTTTTTATACTGCAGAGTATGCACTAATTGAACTGCCTTTATTTTCTTTCTTATCATAAAGAGACTCCAAGAAATGTAATTGCAAATGTAGTTTAAAGTTAATTATACTATTATAAATTATATCCTTTTACTACTTTCTGGGGAACACTAGGAATTTTAGGGTGACTAGATGTATATAAAAATACATAGAGTAGTCAATATATGACTTATAACATTGAGCTAGCATACATACAATGGGTTCCCACAATGTTTCATGGAAATAAACAAGAACAAGACTCTTTCTTCTTTGGAATTTCTAAGAAGCATTTAAGTTTTAGTGTCACTAGTGCTGTGTAATGACAAAACACATTTTATTCGAGAGACTCCGCCTGGGGCAGGCAGATAGGTGTGATTAACAGAGTTAGAACAAATGTACACAAAGAAGATATAATGGGCCTGAATTCTACAAATAGAGTCTATGGCTGAAGAGAAAAAGTGAGGTTAAGAAAGGTATGAGGTCAAGCTCTTGGGATTTTTAAAGCTATTTTTATAAATTTCATGTCTCTTTCAGACACATGACGCTCTGTGTGTGGCTGAGTTCTTGGGAACACACATCTGTCTAGAGGTTTACAATAAGGAAGAGAAGAAATAAGGAAAAAATAGAAGCAGCTCAAAGGGATGTCTTCATATATCTTCTCATTTAATTCTTATAATATCCCTGGTAAGTAGGTATTGCTCCATTTTAAAGATCAGGAAATTAGAGGCCTGGAAGTAACCTGTCATGTCAAGGAGAAAGCAAAGATGCCAGATGCCACAGCCTAAGCTCAGGTCTGTCCAATTTCAAGGCCCTTATTTTACTCATACACCATTTGGCAGTAGCCTTTCTGGTTGGAATATCTATTTTTATATATAGAATGGACTATACTCTTCATTTTCTTTCAACGTCTACAATTCAAGCAATTAGGAATTCATTTAGAATACATGAATTTAAAACTACAAATAAGTCTTGGTTCAAAATGTACAAGTCAGGTTTGCGTTGGGATAAATAAATATAAAGAGATGAGCACATTTCTCTGAATTTTAAATTTGGGTCCTTTATTTACTAACTAGGTGTCCTGGAGAATATCACTTAGCTTTGGGAAAACTCGATTGCCATATTATGACACAAGACCTAATCTAGATACCTAATCACTCTGTAGGATTGTTTTATAGGAAATAATGCATTCTAGAATCTAAATCACTGAACTACAAATGTTAGAATACAGCCTAACATTAAAACATCAGTATCTTAAATCTAGCTTTGGTGTAGTCATTCATTAGTGGGTAACTAATCTGGGTTTTAAAATTTATAAAATAATACGCCACCTATTTCATGATTGTGTTGCAGGCATCAAATGGGATAGTATATGCCAGAGTGCTCTGGAACATGATCAAAAGAGTGTCATTATTGCCATTATTATTACTTAAATAATGAGAACTAAAAAAATGAGAAATAATTACTGTGTTCTTTATCTATCATCTGTCTATATATTTGTTTTGTTTTGTTTTGCTTCAAATCTAAAATATAATGGTCAACTTATGGCACAGCTGTGAACTACAAAACAAATAAAACCTTTCAATATAAATGTTACGTAGCAAAAGGCAGTCTCTCTCAACATGATAGGCCACTTGTGCCATCCACAACAATGCCCACGACAGATCATTGAACATGATTTCTTTTTATAAATGTCATTAGTCTGATCAATGCACACCTTAGACGCTCTTTATCCATATTGCTTCAGCCTGAGATCTACTTATTTCTGCAAATAGTCCTAAACAGTGCAAATGTAATATATTGTAAGACTCCCTCGATTTATTTATTTTTTCATTCATCTTCATAAGAAAACTACAGCAGTGAAATAGCTGCAGTTCTTCACATGCTACCTACCTGCCAAGGACTCCAACAAACTAGTGAAGATTAACTAATATTTTGAGAAAGCCATTTTAAGCCTGAAATATTTGATGCGTGATGAAATCTACAACATGTCCCTATGGAAACACGAAGCTTGGGGACTCTTTATCTGCAATTCATGTGTATGCATGAGACAATCAGAAGCAATGTTCTTCCTGGGCTAAGCCAATAGCCAATAGAGATAAGTCAGCATTTCTGCTATGTGAAAACTCCCAGGGAGCTAGGCTAATTTTTCCAGAGTTTCTACGTATTTTGTGCTTCTAAACACTCCAAATCAAATGGAAGTTGGGTTAGGAAAATCTCCCCATATTTAAAGCAACAATTGGGTAATGATTACCCACTAAGCGTATGCCGTTAGGATGAAAGCCAGTGACAAAACTTTCTGAGGTTTGGGGAAAATAATTAGGGGCAGAAATGGGAAACCTCAGATATATTTCTACTTCTAGTTGATTACAAACAGAGCCATGAAGTCCCATGATAATAGCTCTGGGATGCCACTGGATTGGCAAGGCTGTGGGATGGGGTGGTGGCTATTCCTGGAGTAGTAAAGGCAACTATGTAGGCAGCATCAGTAATGCATCTATTCACAGGATCAGCACAAAATATGCTCAAAACAGCAACTGTAGCATAGGTTAGTTGTATTTGAAACTGGCTGCTTTATGAGTAGCCTGAAAATCATCCATGGTTGTATTCATTGTCTACTGCTGCTGTAAAAAATTCGTACGAGTTTAGCAGCTTAAACAACCCGACCGTATTATGTTATGGTTCTGCAGTTCAGGGTCTCAAGGGGCTAAAATCAGGGTGTCCACTGGGCTGTGTTCCTTCTGGAGGCCCTAAAAAGAACCCATTTCCTTGCCTTTCCCAGCTTCTAGAGGCCCCTGCATTCCTTGGCTCGTGGCCCCTTCCTCTGCCTTCAGAGCCAGTGGCGTTAACATCTCTCTGACCCTACTCCATTATCGCATCTCTTTCTCTGACCCCAACAGAGAAAAGTTATCTGCGTCTAAGGGATGCCATGCAATTAAGGGATGCATTGCCATGATTAGACCGGGTCCACCTGCATAATTAGGATACTCTCCACATCTCAAAGCCCTTAAGCTTAATCCCTTTTGTGAGGTCCCTATGATGGCTGATTTTGGGTGTCAATGTGACTGAATTAAGTGATAATAATTAACGGATGGTAATTAAGGGAATTAATTATTTATTTTGAATCACTGCATTAATTATTCTCAATGCTTCAGCAGGACCGAACCAGCCCCTCTCCTGCAGAAAGAGAAACCCAGGTGATTTGGCATTTGATTAGAATGTTTGAGCTGCCCCAGGGGTGGGGAAGATCTGTCCTCAGTGGGGCCCAGATGGGACGAAAAGGCTGAAGAAGGATGGATTCTTGCTCTCTCTCCTGGAGCTGCGGCACCCATCTTCTCCTGTCCTTGGATGTCAGGACTCCAGGTTTCCTGGCTTTGGGACTTCAGGAAGAAAACCAGTGGCCCCCCAGGCTTTTGGGCCTTTGGCCTCAGACTGACTGAGAGAGATACCATCATCTTCTCTGGTTCTGAAGCCTCTGGACTTAGACTGAGTTATGTTATGGGTTTTTGCTGATTCTCCAGCCTGCAGACAGCCCATCATGGGACTTCTCACTGCACAGTTGAATGAGCCAATTCCCCTGATAAATTCCTTCTCGTCTCTCTCCCTAAATAGTTATCATGTCAGTTCTGTCTCTCTGGAAAACCCTGACTCAACAGTCTCTTTTGCAATATAAGGTAACATCTTCACAGGTTCTGGGGATTAGGACAAGGGCATCTTTGGGAGGCTATTATCCTATCTACCACCATGGTCTATGATCTGGAGATTTCCAAATTCCTCACCTATCCATCTTCTTAGTGGGAAATTCCTCCCACCCTCTGCAGAGAGCCATCTGGAGTTAGGCTGACCATAGCTGCAGAAGTCAGTCGGCCTGCTGCATATTAACCCTAAGAATCCATTATTGCTATTAATCATTTATACAGCCAACTCTCAAAGCTGCTCATGATAGGTGCCATTATGACAACTGTTAGAGCACAGGAAATTCTCACTTAACCCTGTGAATAGGCTCTTGGAAACTGCGACTTTAAGTGAAACAACATAAAACAGAACGATTTTCCTGTGGGCTAATTGATATACATAAGAGTGACGTTCCCACGGTACGTTTCGGGTCACAAAAACATCACCAAACTTCTAAGTAAAGACCAAATCACTCCTAATACTAAACACTTAGATAGATGTGAACTATATGTATTATGCCATTCTTAAATTGCTGCAAAGATACACTTGAGACTGGGTAATTTATAAAAAAAGAGATTTAATTGGCTCATGGTTCTGCAGGCTGTACAGGAAGTGTAACAGCGGCATCTGCTTCTGGGGAGGCCTCAGGAAGCTACCAATCATGGTAGAAGGCAAAGGAGAGCAAGTGTAACACATGGCGGGCACAGGGACAAGATTGGTGGGTGCCACACACTTTTAAATGACCAGGTCTCAGATGAACTCAGAGTGATGGCTCACTTATCACCAAGGAGATGGCCCCCATGATCCAAACACCTCCCACCAGTCTCCACCTCCAACACTGGGGATCACATTTCAACGTGAGATTCAGGCAGGGACAAATATCCACAGTACATCACTATACATACATTTTTTTAAAAGTTAGTAAAAATAAAATTATTTACCCCATTATTCCAGGTCCGGGTTGCAGGTGGCTGGAGCCCATCCCAGCAGCTCAGGGTGCAAGGCAGGGCCCAGCCCTAGATAGGATGCTATCCCTTTATAGGGCACTCACATACAAACCCACATTCACACTGGGACATGAACCTCACATGCATATCTTTGGGATGTGTGGGAAAACAGGAGGACCTGAAGAAACCCCTTGCAGACGGGTGGGAGAGTAGGCTCACTCCACACAGAGAGTGGCCTCCACCAGGAAGTGATTTTTCTTTTTCTCATCAATGTTACAAAGAAATGCTGTTGAGTGGAAAGTCATTCAAGGACCCACTGTCTAGCTGTGTTCTATTATTGCCTTCTTCTTTGTTCATCTTCTTACAATGCTGGATCTGGGATAACTTTGCATTAAATATCTTTCTTATTTAATGACTGGCATCTATAAAAATGTAAAGCTCACTGGGAAGTCAGGGAAGCATTTTTCTGCTGACCTGAAGCATGATTTGCATTTTTAAAAATGCACGTCATAAGCACTTAGCTGGAGTGAAATAAACTTGCAGTGCTCTCAGAAACTGAAGCGTGGCCAATGTCACGGCATTTATGAAGTCTTATCAGTGGAACTCTTGTGGCTGTTACCTCATAATTAGCTTACTCAGTACATTATAATTAATTTTTATAATAATTTAATTTAGTTAATAATTAATTTTTTGGTTCTTTTGCCCAACCACACTGGCAAAGAAAATCAGAAAAAAAACCTATATTGATCAGGTTAGGATAGGCCATACAGCAGCATGAACAAATCCTGATATCCCAAAACAATCTAATAAAATAAAGGTTTGTTTTTTTTCTCATGTAAAGGTCAATGCAGCTCAGGTAAACTTACCCCAGCTTGCAGTTATGCCATTAGGAAAGCATAGTTGCCAAGCTGGATGGAAAGACATGGAATGGCCATGCTGGCTCTGAACCCCTCAGCTAGAAAGGGACACATGTCACTTTCCCCCACAACCATTGGCCAGAAGGAATCACATGACCCTAACCTGCATCCAGAGGAGACCAGGTAGTCCAGGGGTGCACACGGTCATGGGGTGAGGGCTATATGTCTCTGCCAATCTATGACCGTCATCCCTTTCACTGACTTCATTGACCTTATTGTGAAAGATGACGAAATGGAGGTCAAAGTCATCTGTAGCCAAACCGACCAAGACACTCTCCATCCTAACACGTCTATTACCAACCTGACATTTTGCTTCTCTAGAATTTCCTAAAGGTAGGATCACTTTCTCTCTCTAAGACCAATTCTCTCAAGAATTTATAAGAAAAGAGGTTTAACTGGCTCATGGTTCTGCAGGCTGTACAGGAAGCATAACAACCTAGTGCAGCTACATTCCATTAAAGTCATGGCAATTTCAGTGAGTGACACTTTGAAGCCACATCATTTGTCTTTCTCTGGCTGACTTTCCTTGAAGGTGGTCAGGAATATTGACTTGCCTTAATCTCTTACTTCACAATGGGGCTTGAATTTCACTTTCTCAGATGTGTTTGAGGTTAGTATTTGAACCAATTTGATTTATGAATATTTTACTCAAATAGACGTCTTGGTCTTTGAAATATCTTCCTATTGCCTTTTAAAAGCATCTTGGCTGGACACAGTGGCCTGCACCTGTAGTCCCAGCACTTTGGTAACCTGAGGCAGACGGATTGCCTGAGCTCAGGAGTTCAAGACCAGCCTGAGCAACATGGCCAAACCCTGTCTTTACCAGAAATACACACACACACACACACACACACACACACATGCACACACACACACATACAAATAGGCATGGTGGTGCATACCTGTGGTCCCAGCTACTCAGGAAGCTAAGGTGGGAGGATTGCTTGAGCTTGGGAGGTGGAGGTTGCAGTGAGCCAAGATTGCACCACTGCACTCCAGCCTGGGTGACAAAGTGAGAACCCGCCTCAGAAAAAAAATATATATATCTTTTTAGGGGGCAATGAAATAACCAATTCTGCCATCTTAGAGAGCTTGGGTGATTTGAAGTTACATGGCCAGATTTAGAAAAGTAGGGACGCCCCTTTATTCCGTTGATCTATGTTCAAACATTCAACTTTCATCTCCTACTCATAACACTTACTTCTTACAACATTGCAAAAATTATTTTTCCAAATGAAATATTAAAATTAGTAATATTAATGGGTCAGCTCATGTAAGCTGATGATTTTTTTTTAAGTGAATGAAATTAGCAGTCTACTCTGCTCATCTTTTCAGATTGGAACAGAGCCTGGATTAAGATAGAAATGAATTCTAACCTCTTCATAAACTCTTCCAGATTCAAACACTAGACACAGACATGGCCAGAGATATGATGAGCTCTAATCTCCACACACCTATGGCTCGAGGTTCTAGGTGGTCAATGGAGTCTCCAGGGTTCTTGTTTGCAATGGGGCTCCAGGTCCTCCAGGAAGAGTGGAGAGGAGGACTTTGGGTCCTTTGATAAAAATTGATGGATATTGAGAGCCAGGCTGTCTCATAGAAAAGTTGAGATTTATTTAGTCAATCAACAAACACTTTTGAGCACTTACTAGTGCAGGGCACTGTGCTGGAATCTCTTATAGAACAATCAGTTACATGAAGAATAAAACATCAACCCTGACCTGTGAAGGGTGGAGACTGGTGAGAAAGAGGATGCTGAGGGAGATGGTGGGGGGAGAAATGAACTCCAAAAAATAATTATGACGAATGCTCAATTCCATGGAGAAAATAAAAAGCGTGTTCGTGCAGAGAATCCCAAAGGGAGGTGCTGTGTACAGACAAGGAATGTGCCTTGAAGCAAGGCCTGGAGGAAGGGCTGGGTCCTGCCCTGAACGCAGTCAGAGAGGTGCCAGGCAGGCCGCCACTGGCCATCATCTCAGGCCTGGGGCAGCCACCCATGTAAGTCGATCCCTAGAGGGATGGCAGAACTTGACGACAACTCTCTGCCCTATCTCTTAGCAGATTACGATCACCATGAACATTCTTGAGGACAACCCCAGTTCTAAGCTCTTCCTATGCATGATACAGTTAAGGAAACGGAGAGGTGAGGTAACCCACCTCAGGTCACATAGTGGTGGATCCAGAGCCCACACTCTTATCCACTCTGCCACTTCACTAGTAGAGAGGTGTGGTTCGCTCTGAGGAAAGGAAAAGCTCATAGGAGATCTCGAAACTTGGGGACAGGAGGAAGGAGTTCCAGCCAGTTCCTGGAAAGCTGTTAGAGCTGCCGCCCCAGTGTGGCTGCAGACAAAGATTCTCACTGAACCAGGGCTCTTGATATTTCTCCAAGGCTGGAAACACAAAGGCTGAACCTCCGCCAGGGACGCTGAAGGGAGAATTGGAAAAATGAAGGGACAAAAGAGGAGGATCCTCTCCCACCTCTTAGAAACATGATCATTAATGTATTGCTCAGCCAGGTGTATTTTTCAAATGCCTCCTGTCCAGCCCAATTCCACGTCTTGGTAGCACCCGGCAAGTCCCTGACTTAGCCAGTCAGACAGGGCTGCACCAGGGATGCTCCCAGGAGTCACCTGACCCTTCCTTTTCCAGGTCCTCACCCTTCTGCTATTTCGGTTTGGCATCTGAATTCTGAATAAGTTCTTACTCCTGTCCTTGAGTCTTCACACGGAAATTTCAGTTTTCAGGTTGACTTCTGTCTCTCCCACAAGGTGTGATCTTAGACTGTTCTAGCAGGTCTGCCCTGTTTGCAACAGTCTCTGGTGTACACTTCCTGCCCTGGTCAATCCTTCAAAACCCAAACTGTGACTCTAGCTGCTGGTCAGCACCAGTCTATTCCCCCTGAATTCTCCTGGGTGTCAGGCTCTCTGTCCCACTCCAGATTCATGGAGACCATACAGGAAGCCTCTCTTGACTCTGACCTCCCAGGACTTATAGTCAAGTCATAGCAACTAGACCGACTCAAGGACAGTAACAGCGATTGCCAGAATCCCAGCTGCTCCCAAACAGAATTAGACACTTAAAAATCCACTTAAACTTTATAAGAAGAGTCTAAACACTGGACAATGTTACATGGTGGAGATGGGCAAAACACATCGGGGTGAGTGTATCGCAACCTTATCTTTCCTTTTAACCAAAATGTCCAGACACAACTTGTGTTTCCATAAGCACCCACATGGTTGGTGGCTATCTGAATATTTTAAGGCTAGGCACAAATGTTAGGCAGTGCAAAGAAAGGGAGAAAGGATGAAGAAAAACATCCAAGGGCAGATAATAAAGCCAGTTTACACTTTCAGATGGCATTTCTTAAGTTCAGTTCGTTTTAAAGTTTTTTTCCTTTTCTTATGTATAACTAGACTTCCATGAGATGGTCAAGGTGGTTAACTGCAAGCATCTCTGAATTTAGGTAAAGCGTTAAGCCTTTTTTCTCAAGAGTCCACCCCTGTCTTCAAAAATACAAAATGGTGAGTGGCCGGGAGTGGCAGCTCACATCTGTAATCCCAGAACTTTGGGACGCTAAGGAAGGAGGATCGCTTGAGTCCAGGAGTTCAAGACTAACCTGGGCAATACAGCAAGACCCCATCTCTACAAAAAACACAAAAATTAGCGAGGAGTAGTGATGCATGCCTGCAGTCTCAGCTACTCAGGAGGCTGAGGTGGGAGGATCACTTGAGTCTGGAGGTGGAGGCTTCAGTGAGCTATGAATGTGCCACTGCTCTCCAGTCTGGACAACAAGGAAAGACCTTGTCTCAAAAAACAAAAACAAACAAAATGACAGAATGAATCAGGAGACCTGTCTCTGGTCCTGGCCCTGTTGATGCTTGGCATTCGTCAAATCACATGACCTCTGGGGGATAGTTTTTTCCCACCGGAAGACAGTATTTTATATTAGTCAACTTGCAAGGTCCCTTTTCGTTCTAAAATTCCTGCCTCACTGTCATGCCTGCCAGATGCTGCCTGTGACACTGGCCATGAAAGGGCACTGGGTTGCTCATGAGAGCTGTGGAGGAAGAGTTGGAAAGAAGCTACGTGTGACCAGCTTCATGAACTGGTACAGCTTTGACTCAACTTGGCAACTTCCTCTGTGTGGCCTCCCAAGAAGGGCCACAAGAGCCACTTGGCACAAACCTCACCACACGTCTTTTGCTTTACTCCTGCCTCTCAGGGAACCTATTCAGTGGGAAATCTCCCTTGAGAATCTCTTAATGAAAAGGCCCCAGTCATGTGGCCTTTTGGCTCAGGAACTCCGTGTCCCCATTTTAAGGTACAATTTGCCACTTTGGCCCTCTGCCTCTGGCTTCCGTTCCTGCCCAGGGAAGCCCAAAGTTGGGTAAAATTGTGTGAGAAGAGATAGCCCCTACATGGGGCCCCACAGCCAGAAGGAAACAGATGAGAGGATCCTCGCATCTCCAGAGCCAGCCAGGGCCTCACTGTCCTGTTGGTTTGTTTGCTTCTCTATGGTGTGAAGCCTGACCTTCCCATCTTCCTGCTCTGTTCTTTATGCCCCACACTACTCACATTTGTGGCAATGTTGCAGGCATGGTCTAAACTTCGGGCTGGGATTTTATTATTATTGTTATTTAAGTATTTATTTATTTGAGTCAGGGTCTCATTCTCTGCCAGGCTGGAGTGCAGTGGCACAGTCTTGGCTCACTGCAACCTCTGCCTCCCGGGTTCAAGCAATTCTCCCACCTCAGCCTCCCAAGTAGCTGAGATTACAGGTACTCACAACCATACCTAGCTAATTTTTGTATATTTTGTAGAGACGGGGTTTTGCCAACTTGCCCAGGCTGGTCTTGAACTCCTGGATTTGAGCAATCCTCCTCCATCCTCCCAAACTGCTGGGATTATAGGCGTGAGCCACGGTGCCTGGCCCCAGGCTGGGATCTGAATGTTGACCACATGAGATTCTCAGAAGAAGCCCTCACAGTAACAGGAACAAAGGTTCAAATCTGAATCTGAGCCCCAGAAAGGATGAAAGAGGCTCTGGTCTGAGTAATTATGTCCCCTCAAATTTACATGTGGAAATCCTCACCTGCAAGGTGATGGTATTAGGAAGGGGGGCGGTTAGGAGGTGATTAGGTTATGAGGGTAGAACTATTATGAATGGGATTAGTGTGCTTGTAAAGGGGACCCCAGAGAGCTGCCTCACCCCTTCCATCCTGTAAGAATGAGGAGAGAAGGTGCCACCTATGAGCCAAAAAGGAGATTCCAAATCTGCCAGTACCTTGATCTTGGACTTCCCAGCCTCGAGAACTGTGAGCCATAGTTGCTTGTTGTTAAACCACCCAGTTTATGGTATTAGCACTTACTTTGTTATAGCAGCCCGAACAAACCAAGACAGAGAAGTGAGGGTTCGAGACTGAACATAAGCACCTCAGTGAACCTTGAGGCAACGCCTCCCCACAGTTACTTTCCCCTCCCTCATCTTCCTTACAGCCTCTCCACTCCTCACACCGAGTTGCCTACTGAAGACACTCTGCTGATTCTTAAGTTCTTTGCCTACTGGGGAAGGGAGGCCCACTCAGCAGGGCCCAGAGAGAGGGGAGCTCCGGCATTCTCTGACTTCTCAAGGTCATGTCCTCCCAATGGCCTGAGCTCCCTTTAATGCACACTACAGTTGGTTGTAAATATGCCTGTTGAAATTCAGCATGAGGGAGTGGGCCATGCCTTGCCATGTTTTGAATGGTTGAATGGTGCTCAGTTCCCCCAGTGCCTTCTTCCCAACTGACATCTGGCCTGAGCTGCCCACCAAGCTCGCAACACAAGCTCTATCACTTTTCCCGACATTCTGGACCGCTTTGGCAGGTTGGGGCTCTACATTTCTAATCTGTTGGGAGGCTTTCTGGGTTTGAAACCGGGGGCTTCCCTGGAGAGAGCTCTACCGTGTTGGTTCTCAGGTCACTCAGTAACTGAGTCCAAGGAACAGCCTGTCCTTGAAACTGCATTTGCAAAGATATAACAGCTGAGGGCATAACTGATTTCTAAATTTCCTTTTTCCACCCTACCCTTGTTCTCCTAACTTACAAATAGTTTCCAAAATCAAGATTATACTTCTTCACCACACTACTGTCTCCAAGTTCCCAGAGGCTCAGGCTCCGGCTGTGGCTTGAAATGCCATCAGTGATTTATTTCTTGTTAGTATTTTGAAAACACTTATCAAAGGTCACCATAATTTAGCATGAAAATTCAACAATTCTCCCACATCCCCAGAAGTCTTCCTTTCAGCGACTCCTCCAAGCAGCTTTGAAACATTTGTTCTTACAACCCTTTGTTGAAATAAATAAATAGGGCCAGACTGCACTTTCTTAACAGCAACAAAAGCCCAAAGAAGCGGCACGTGTTAGGTGGTTCTACGGGTAAGATGGGGAAAAGAATCTCGCTTGCCTGAGCCCAGAATTTGAATGGGGATCATGCGTTTTCCAGCTGACCACGAGAAAGAGGCTGTGCACACTTTACATCTCCCAAGCTCTGTGTCTGGCCTAATGAAGCCATCGATTTCTTCCTGTCTGACAAATGTTACAAGGAGACCAGCAGCTAGGAGAATGAGAGAGCAATCTTTTTATTTTCTGCTTTTTTGCTTTTAATTTTGTGTACTCAGGAAGAAATGTATGGATTTCTTTCTTCTAGCTAATCACAGCGGCACGGTTGTAACTGCCTCCCTTTCCCTTTAGTGCTTTGTTTTCCTTGGTTCATCACCTGGGTAAGGTATGGACACTGCTTTTCTCTAATGCATCTAACAGTGTTGGGGCCGTTTCAGGGAATGTTGAGCACCTGTGTTGGAGTCCATTGCAGTGAACCTGATGGCCTTGATTCATGGGTATTTAGAAAGTGAGAGGTGGATTCACCTGAAACTTATTATCAAAGTAAACTATGCCCCTGAGGAGGAAGCGGGATTTTTTTTTTTTTTTTTTTTTTTTGAGACAGAGTCTTGCTCTGTCACCCAGGCTGGAGTAGAGTGGCGCCATCCTGGCTCACTGCAACCTCCGCCTCCCAGGTTCATGCAGTTCTTGTGCCTGCCTCCCCAGTAGCTGGGATTACAGGTGCCCACCACCATATTTGGCAAATTTATTTTTTATTTTTTGTATTTTTAGTAGAGATGGGGTTTCACCAGGTTGGCCAGGCTGGTCTCAAACTTCTGACCGCAAGTGATCCACCCACCTCGACCTCCCAAAGTGCTACAATTACAGGCATAAGCCACCGTGCCCAGCTGGAAGTAAGACTTTTTTCAACTTTCATAAAACTTAGGCAGAGTCTATATTTACTACTACAATTTTCTCTCTTTATACTTCTTCCAAGAAAGACAGTTACTCCTTTAATCAGATCAAATTACCTTAATTGTGATTTGGAATCACAGAACCAGGAGTTTGAAGTGTTCTGAACATTAAGGGAAAGTTGGAACCTGGAGAGATGTTGACAATAACAACGTGTCCTAACTCTATGTGGAGTCAATGTGCATGATCTCATTTAAGTCTTACCACTCTATGAGAAAGGGCCCATCATTCACTGCATCTCAAAGAGACGGAAGTCCAAAGCAAGTTACTTATTCAAAATGACAAGTCTTCTGGGTCTCTCTAACTCAAGCCTATGGTCATAACCACTCCACATTATTGCTGTCTTCGCAGGTCCCACGTTTTACAAATGAGTAAACTGAGGTCAGAAAGGTGGGATTGTTCAACAGTTAGAATGAGCAGACTCACCCAGGACTCCTGACTTCAATTTCTTATCCTTCCACTTTGCCATGTTACAGGACGTGATGACTGATGAAGACTTGGGGTAAGGAGCAACTCTTTACCTACCTTGAGTGGAATGTGACTCACCCAGGACAGAACTGACCATTTATTTTTTAGGGACGATGCTGGCCAAGGCAGGACAGTGCGATGTGGTGGTGGAGCAAAGCGGATGGGGGCAGAGTGGGAGCAGCCCCTCGCCCTGGAACCTTTGCTTGGTGGAAAAGCATCTTGGTGATCCCCTTCCTGCATGTTGGTCTTATTCCACTCTGACCCTGGCCATCAACATCAGAAAATACTTTTTTTTTTTTTAAATTTAGGGTCTCACTATGTTACCCAGACTGGCCTAAAACTCTTGAGCTCAAGAGATCCTCCTGCTTCAGCCCCCTGATTAGCTGGGACTATAGGTGCCTCTGGCTCACACTGTAAAATTCTTTATCTCTTAGACCTACCAGGGGCAAATCACCATGTAAGTGATTCATGTGTAGAAACAACATAATTTACCTCCATACAAGTCAATTTTTAAAAATTAAATACAATCATCATTCTCAAACAGATTCCAATGACAAATAGCTCTAGTTTTAGCTATAAAAGGGACTGGATTTTGTCCTTCTGTCTTGCCAGACTTGGCTCTCAGAGAGGTATTTGAAAACACCTTGGTCTTTGTATGGAGATTCTAAAAGTCCCTAGGTATGTGGATTTCTAAAAAGCTTGCAGGAAACTCTTGTGCTTCCTTTAAGAACCTGAGTGAAAAGTGTGAAGTTTTGGGCTCCCTCTGATAACCAAGTCCAATCTTCTCTATTGATATTGTTGTTGTTATAGGCTCAATGGTGTTCTCTCAATATCTATACATTGAAGCCCCAGCCCCTGTACTCACAATGTGGCTGTATTTAAAATAGGGCCTTTAAAAGATGAAATTAAAATGGGTCATATAGATGAGCCCTGATCCAATCTGACTGGTTTCAATTTTTTTTTTTTTTTTTTTTTTTTTTTGCAACGGAGTTTCGATCTTGTTGCCCAGGCTGGAGTGCAATGGCGTGATCTTGGCTCACCACAACCTCCACCTCCTGGGTTCAAGTGATTCTCCTGCCTCAGCCCCCCAAGTAGCTGAGATTACAGGAGCACACCACCACACCCAGCTAATTTTGTATTTTTAGTAGAAGCAGGGTTTCTCCGTGTTGGTCAGCCTGGTCTCGAGCTCCTGAACTCAAGTGATCTGCCAGCCTTGGCCTCCCAAAGTGCTGGGATTACAGACGTGAGCCACCACACCCAGCCTGGTTTTGCTTTAAGAAGAAGAAATTAGGGCACAGACTGGTACAGCAGGAAGACTACATAAAGACACAGGGAAGACAGCCATCAATTGGGTTGGTGCAAAAGTAATTGCTGTTTATGCCGCAAGGCAAGGATCAAGGCCTTGGAAGAAACCAACCCTGCTGATAACATTGATCTCAGACTTGCAGCCACCAGGACTGTGAGAACATGAATTCCTATTGTTTAAGCCTGCCAGTCTGTGGTACTTTATTATGGCAGCCCTAGCAAACTAACACAACTGTGGTAAAAGATACACATCATAAAATTGACCATTGTAACCATTTTTAAGTGTACAGTTCAGTGGCATTAAGTACCTCCACACTGTTGTACAACCATTGCCACCATCCAACTCCAGAACCTTTTACTCTCTCCCAGCTGAAACTCCATACCCATTAAACATTACCTCCCCATTTTAACTTAGTCATAAACCATATGCAGTGCAACTGTCTGCCTTCTGAGCCAAAACCACCTTTTCCCACTTGCTTCCAATGTAGGTGGGGTAAACTCAAACAGGGATGTGTAGTAACAAGTTGGTCTATACATTAGAGGGACCATGTGTGAAAAATATCTGAATTTCTCCATTTTTACATTGCTGATAAAGACATACCCAGAGATTGGGTGATTTATAAAGAAAAAGAGATTTAATGGACTCACAGTTACACGTGGCGGGGGAGGCCTCACAATCATGGTGGAAGGTAAAAAGCACGTCTTACATGGCAGCAGGCAAGAGAAAGAATGAGAACCAAGCAAAAGGGGTTTTTCGTTATAAAACCATCAGATCTAATGAGACTTATTCACTACCATGAGAACAGTATGGGGGAAACTGCAGCCATAATTCAATTATCTCCCACTGGGTCCCTCCCACAATGTGTGGGAATTAGGGGAGCTAAAATTCAAGATGAAATTTGGGTGGAGACACAGCCAAAGCATATCAATATCCATTAGGGACCAGCAAGTGACCCTCCTAAAGGTACTGGGGCTTGATTTAGGCTCTGATCTAGACCAAGAAGTTTCACAGTTTACTAAGTCAACTCTCCTGCTTGCAGACAAGATAAACTAGCAATTGTGATTCATCTATCCTTCCAGAAGGCTTAATAGTCTCCAGGCAAGTGCTCTAATAAAATGAGTAATCGCCTTGCGTTAGCCGTGAGGAAGCAACAACAGCTCAGCAGCTTAAATAAAGGTAGGAGGGATGGGGAAACTAATAAATTCTAATACAGCCCTGTCACAAGCTCCCAAGGAGATTCTTTTCAGTTACCCTCACTGCTAACGGGAGCCAACCACACTCTGAAAAAGTGTGGGGGACCCTTCCAGGATTTAAAGCAAAATAAACTATGTAAGGAAACTGAGAAATCAATGGAGCTTAGACTCCAGGTCATAGCAGACACAGGTTTAATGAGAACACATCTACAAAGGGACCTGCACAAGTTTGTTCACCATTTGATTGATCATTTAGCTGTGGTGAAAATTTAAAATTAGGGTTCTTCAAGCAAAAATTTATGTAAACAACCTTCTTCCTTCTGCCTACTGCTCTGAGGGACACCTTATTACATAGACTGATATGTTCTCCATAGATTGTTGAGTCAGGAGACACCACTTAAGCCTTAGCTACAACCAGAAAAAGTGGTTTCCTAGGATTTGCCATATTATTAAAGTGCATCGCTCCAGAAAGCATTGTGAAAGCTAAAGTCCAAATAACATTGCCACTGGACATTTAAGAGCTATGTCTTCAAGGGAGGTCAGTGTCTCTTATGAGTTCCAGGCATCAGCCTGAAGCTTAAACTCACAAATTTGAAGGGATTATCAAACAACAGTGTCAACAGAAAACAGCACTTGCTAAATGTCATTCACAAGCTTCTCCTTCAACCGTAATTCTCAGCTAAATCGCCCAACCTCAGATTTGGATTCCTTGTAGAAGCTAACTTTAGTAAGATTTCCAGGGTTAAAATGGTTTTGAATTGGAATGACTTCTGCCAGTTTTGTGGTTGTTAAGTAGCAGCGTTCAACTTGGCAATAGTTGAAAAGCTGATCACTGAAAAGACAGCAAAATGTAAAAGAAACTACATAACAGACCTAATTATAAGCTTATTTTATTATTTTACCCTCTATATCCCTATATTCATGGTAAAGATGAAAAAGACCAAGGAAAACAATCCAGACAAAACAGACTATGAAAAAGATAAAACCCAGATAAAAGAGACTATGAAAAATAAATCCAAGAAGGGGAAATCTGTGGATTGGCTCTGTTTATTGGTATTCACAATTCTGGAGTATTTATTTTCTCCTGTGTTCAGACCCATTTACTCATCACCTCATAATTACAAGGATTCCTTTGATAATGTGTAATGTTGGCCTTCACTTGTTTGTTTATAATATGTGTCATTTCAACAACTTTGTTATTTTGCAAGTTTGCCTGTAGGTCATTGAATCTGAGCTCTGGTTTTAAAATACCCAATCGTGGGCAAGTTTCTCCACCTCTCTGAGAATAATAATAATTAAAAATATCTATCCTTCATTCAGATTTATAACGGAGCCAGGCCTGGGCCAAGGGTCAAACATAGATCATCTCAATTGATCATTTGACAAGCCTTTGAGGAGTGTGCCAATATTACTGTCAATTTGCTAATGAGGAAATCGATACTTGAAGAGGTAAGTAACTTGCTCACGGTCAAACAAATAGTTGGTAAGTAAAGAGTTGGTGTCTCCACCCAAGCAGTCCAACTATCCTATTTTACTTCTCAGTTATCTCAACTATGAAATATGGGTAAAAATACTTAATGTATTGGGCTGTAAAATTTAAATGATTACTTATGTAATCAGTTCCGCAGAGGCTGGTAAATAGCAGGAACTCAAGAAATATTAGATTGCTAATACTGTTCACCCTCCTACAGTGGCCAAAATTGTCACAATACCCATAATCATCAAATAAACTCTACCAACATGTACTTAATGGAAGTATGCCAAATCACACTTCTAGATAGTGATGGTGGTAACTGAAATTTATACCAACAAAACCCAATTTAAACTATTGTTGCAGGAGGCTGGGCGCAGTGGTTCATGCCTATAATGCCAGCACTTTGGGAGGCCGAGGCGGATGGATCACGAGATCAGGACATCAAGACCGTCCTGGCTAACACGGTGAAACCCCGTATCTACTAAAAATACATTTTAAAAAATTAGCTGGGCGTGGTGGCACACACCTGTAGTCTCAGCTACTCGGGAGGCTGAGGCAGGAGAATCATCTGAACCCAGGAAGCAGAGGTTGCAGTGAGTCGAGATCGCGCCACTGCATTCCAGCCTGGGCGACAGAGGGAAACTCCGTCTCAAACAAACAAACAAAAAATTGTTGCAGTCTAAAAACATTAATAAGGATCTCTCAGCAATAAAATATAAGTGTAGTGACTGTAAAACTTGTGTGGTACTATATGCATTGGTATACTACTTATGCTATATGCTTCTATGGTTGTAATATAGCTCCAGTCCTCATTCGTGTCTTCCCTTCCTGGAAAACTCCTATTCATCCTTCAAGGTCCCACTCAAATGCTTCTTCCTCTGGGAAGTCTTCTCTTATACCCGCAGGAGGAGGAAGCTGCCCTTTCCTCTGTCCTACTACAAAATTGCAGGGAACCACATCCTAGGATATATTTGATACCCAGGTCCAACACAGAGCCTGATACGAAGAAAGTATACAGCCTTTGCTTATTTAATGAAGGAACACTTTCAACGTGCTGATTTTGAATTTGCAATAATCTAAATATCTAAGATTGTATGGAGTAGGGTTTAATGTGTAAGTATTGCAAAGTCCTTCAACACTCATTAGACTTTTCATATTAGAGTAAGTGACACCGCTTCCCAGCGTGATAAGAGTGAGGGTCAGACAAGCAAAGCAGGGCTGCTCCAACCCACCTTTCCTAGTTTCTATATTCACATTCTTGGGTCTGAGCCCAATTATTGTTTTCACAAAGCCCTGTCTAGGATTCCTAGTTGAGCTGGGGCTACAGGTATCAGCTTGTATTTCATAGGCAAGAGAAAAGATGCAGGTGAAAAACACGAGCTTGAAAAGCAAAGTTCAACTGGGGCACCACTGGAGGCATTGGGGTAGGCTCTCTCTTCAACCTAAATGGAGTTTTACAAGATTTCACTAGCAAAACAGCTCCTGCCCATGGAGGCATGTGGAAAGCAAAATCCTAATATCCCTTGTTGCTCCCAACACTGCAGCTTCAGAGTGACACTGGTCTGTTCCCTGGTTCTACCACATGCTGTGAGACTATAAGTGATTGAGTCAACTCATCTGACCATCTGTAAAATGGGTATAATAATACCTCTCAAAGTTATGAGGTTTATATGAAATACCAGGTGTTAAGTACTTATTGTAGGGCTGAAGACTGAATATGGTCAATAAATATTAACTCCCTTGTTGACTTCCTTCCCCTTTCACTTTTTCCACTGAAGTAATTTAACTCATGATCCGACGTCAGGGATCACTGCCAGCTGACTGGCAATCAATATATCACGTTCTCAATTTGTCTCAACGTCCAGTAAACTAATCAAATGGTAATGATGATGTTTTGGGCTGAACAGGTAGAGTTGGGAAACACTCTTCTGCTACCCATTTAGTCAAAAACGCAAGATGGCGGATCCAAAAAAATGCAAAATGGTGGATCCATGAAAGAACTTCTGAGTTCCCAAGATATCACAGCAGTGCAACATGTGGATCATTAGAATTCTTCTCATGTATCATGGTGCTAATTTAAGATCAGAAATTGCCCTTACTTATTCTGATTTCCAAAGTGTTGACATTCTCTCATCTAAGCTCCTGTTCTTCTTGGACTCCGTAAATGGATTTGTGTTTGGCTGGCTGAGAAAAGGAATTGCAAATGCTTGGTAGAACTTTCTTCTCTCATCCTCTCAACACTGAGAAACTCAAAAGAGAAAGAAAGGATATGGTAGCTTTTGATTCTATTCTTGCTCAACTATTTCTTAGACTGTCTCTTGAATGGAAGCATGGGAAGGACGAGACGCTCCCGTGTCCCTCAGCAATATTGCCAAACCTCCTGGCTGAGTGAACTTCTGCAACTTGACCTCTTGCCTTTCCAAGTTTTTGCTCAAATTGCATTTTTTATATTCATGCTGCTCTTTCTTAAGTAGTGGCTTGAGAAACAATGTGCCAGGAAAATCAAAATTTTTATGATAGAAAAAGAGCTACAAGAAGAGAAACAAAACCATCTCCCACTTCTCAGTTAATCTCAGTATCTAATAACACCCTGGAAGTCAAACAGCTGTTTTTTCCAGCAAGATGCAAGAGTCCTGGTGTACACCTGTCTCCAATGCCAGAAGTCACTTTCACTATTGCAGACATGCCCTTTGGAGGCCGTAATCTTTCCCCAGCATGAGGAGTATGAAAACCCTGCATGTGCTCTGTGTAAAGCAAGCCTAAACAAATCCACCCTTCAAAAAATCCATTTGGTTTGAAGGCAGGGATGACACCAAGGGAGGGGATGGAGGGAGACAGAGTCCATACTGGGAAGCTTCCTGGATGGGACAAACTTATCAAACATTAGGAATCTCGTTGCCCCTGCTGCTGAGGCCACCAAAAGAAGTGAAATGGCAATGGTCACATGGCCTCCTGTTAAATGATTGGAACAACACATTTGCATTCTCACATAGACTATATTTCGCATCACTCTTGGCGTTCTGCACTGTTAAGGTCAATCTCTAATAAAATTGCAAAGCAGGCAAAGTCTATCTTCTGACTTCACCCACCAGTGTCCCAATATTTCTTCTTGCTGCCATCTTGCTCTTTGACAGGCCCCCCGCTCCGTGATGCATTCATGCTCTCAGGTGGTCATCAGGCATGGACCTGCTGAGGTGTAGACTGGCCGTTGTGCTCTTCCTCTTCCGTGTTTCTATAGAAATTCTATGTGTGTACAATTGCATAAAGAAACTGATCCCATTGCTGAGATTACAGCTTTCTTACATGTTCTGCACTAGCCTGCAAGTTCCCTAAGGGAAGAGGCTCTGTTTCCTTCCTTTTTGTATCCTCTCATGTTAGCATTGAGTTTTACAGTTAGTAGTTACAGAATGCATTTTTTAAAAAATGAATTGAATGAAGTGATTAGGATACTAGTTAATAACACCTTAAGTGTATTTTCTCTGAGCCACATAAATATTTCAAAAGATAACAAAGGACCACAAAATCTTTAGGATCCAAAGAGTAAGATGTCAATCAGTGGGAAAAGGAGACTGCACCCAACGACTTCTCAGACCCAATTGTACTGATAGTCACCAGCAACGCTTATAAATGAGACAGTTTCTATTGTAAAAATATTTCTCTTTTCACTAGTTAGGAAATAAGGCGCCTCTCCACTGCCACATCAAAAAGAATACTTAGAAATAAACCTAACTTGCTACTCACCACTCACCCTACTGAAACAGTTCACTCTACCTTCTTAAGACTGCTCTCTCTGCCAGTTCTTGAGGCCTTTTTTGCAAAGACCTGGCAGATAAAATGAATGACAAGTGCCAGTTTTGAGATAAATAGGATGTTAAAACCATAATTCTTTAACTTCAGAATTGACAAAACAGCTCTTATCCAAAAATCTCAAAGTGGCTTACACGCTAACCATATGAATTCTTCCTAGACTCCCACCAAGAAACAAGATGTTTATCCTTCATTTACAGAGGAAATTGAAACTCTAGAATAAATGACTTTCTACGGTGAAGAGATGGTGATGAAAAGACACTGGCCCTGAGAAGAAAGACTTATGCCAACCCATCCCCTCTCATCACCCTTTTCATCTTTTCCATTCCTTTCTTCAAGAAATACAAGTATGACTTGCAGAGTTTAATCAGGTTAGTTAGGAACAGGTGGATTCATAACAAAGTTCACAGTCGAACTTCCCAACAGTAAAGTAGTAGGATGCCCCGTTGCTCCCAAATCAAAATTGGAAATCTCCAAAGCCCTCTCAGAATGTACTGATATGGTTTGCCTGGAGCTGGAGGTGGTGGGGGCTGGAGGTAAGGGAAGGAGACAAAGGTTTGCTCAAATTAAAATCCAACTTAACATATGAAGGGAACTATGTGCAACTGTACACTGGGAATTTAGACTTACCACGGTCTAAAGAAGCCATCACTATGTGTTAATAATACCCCAGTAGACTAAAGGATGCTGCATTATGGAATGGAAGAAGAGCGATTTTGCAAGGCTTCATCTTGCCAGATTTTAGGCAAGATATGCAACCTTTTTAAAAAATATTAATTTATTTTTAAAATTGTTATTGTGCTAAGAACACTTAACATGAGATCTACTCTGACAAATTTTTAAGTGCACAATATTTTTAATTGTTAACAATATAGCTATTGCTACCTATAGGCACAGTGTTATACAGCATATCTCTAGAATTTATTCTTGCATAACTATAACTTTATATCTGGTAAACAGCAACGCCCCATTTCTCCCTCTCCTCCAGCCCCTGCAACCACCTTCTACTCTCTGTTTCTATGAGTTTGACTATTTTAGATTCCTCATGTAAATGTAATCATGCAGCATTTGTCCTTCTATGCATGGCTTATTTCACTTAACATAATGTCCTCCAGGTTCATCCATGTTGTTGCATATGACAGGATTTCTTCCTTTTCTTAATAATGAATAACATTCCAGTATATGTATATACTACATTTTCTTCATCTTTAAATGGACATTTAGGTTGTTTCTACATCTGGGCTATTATAAATAATACTGCAATGAACATAAGAGTGCCTATGTCTCTTCAATATCTTGATTTCAATTATTTTGGATATATACCCAGAGATGGGATTGCTGGTTTATATGATAATTCCATTTTTAATTTTTTGAGGACTCATTATACCGTTTTGTATAGTGGCTGCACAATTTTCTATTCCCACCAACGGTGTACAAGGGCTCCAATTTATTCGTATCTCACCAATATTTGTTGTCTTTTGGGTTTTTTTTAAATAAAATAACAGCCATCTTGACAAATGTGACGTGATATCATGCTGTTGTTTCATATGCATTTTCCTGATGATAAGTGATGTTGAGCACATTTTCATATGCCTGTTGGCTATTTATATGTCTTCTTTGAAGAAACATCTATTCAAGTCCTTTGTCCAGTTTTTAATTGGGTTATCGTCATTATCTATTTGCAATTCAGTTGTAGGAGTTCCTTATATATTTTGGATTTTAATCCCTTGTCAGATACATGTTTTGCAAATTTTTTTACAATTCTGTAGATTGCCTTTTTACAACAAACTAAGTATAAAAGTAATTTACCTCAACACAATAAAGTCCATATATGAAAAGCCCCCAGCTAACACCATCATCAATGATGAAAACTTCTAACGGTGGGAACAAAGCAAGGATGCCTACTTTCACCACTTTTATTAAATGCAATATAGGAAGTCCTAGCCAGAGTAATTAGGTAAGCAAAAGAAATAAAATGTGTCCACATCAGAGAGGAAGTAGTTAAATTACTACTGTTTCCAGATGATATGCTCTTATATACAGAAAATCCTAAAGACTCCACACACACAAAAAAAACTCTTAGGACAAATAAATGCATAAAGTTGCAAGACACAAGTCAAAATATAAAAATCAGTTTTTTCTATACATTAATGATGAACTATATAAAAAGGAAATTAAGAAAAAAATCCTATTTATAATTACATCAAATCAAATAAAATACTAAGAAATAAGTTTAACTAAAGAGATGAAAGACTTGCACACTGAAAACTACAAATCAAGATACAGGTAAATGGAAAGACATCTTGTGTTTATGGCCAGAAGACTTAATGTTGTCCAAATGTCCATAAAAGCCACCTATAAATTTATTGCAATCCCTATCAAAATCCTAATGGCATTTTTTATAGAAATAGGAAAAAGTCCTAAAAGTCATGTGGAACTACAAATGACCCTGAATAACCAAAGCAGTCTTGAGAAAGAAGAACAAAACTGAAGGCATCAGACTTCCTGATTTCAAAGTATAATACAAAGGTATAATAATTAAAACAGTATGGTGCTGGCATAAAAACAGACATACATACCAATGGAACAGAAAAGAGAGCTCAGAAATGAATGCATATTTATATACAGTCAACTGATTTTGACAATGATGCCAAGAATACATACTGGGGAAGGGACAATCTTTTCAATAAATGGTATTGTGAAAATTGAAAAACCACACACAAAAGAATAAAACTGGACCCTTATTTTACATCATATGCACATATAAATCAAGTCAAAATTGAGAAAAAACTTAAGCACAAGACCTAGAACTATAAAACTTCTAGAAGAAAACACAAGGAACAGCATCATGAGATTGGGCTTGGCAATAATTTCTTGGATGTGATGCCAAAAGAACAAGCAACAAAGGCAAAATTAGGCAAGTGGGATGACTACAAACTAAAAAGCTCTGCATAGCAAAGGATACTCAAACACTTTTAAGCCCACTCTCTTCATCTATAAAATGGGAATAATGGTACCTACCTCACATATCTTTGGCTCCAAAATAAGTAAAATATATGATAAATGACTTAGCACAATGGCTGGCAAATAGGAACTCAATAAAAGGTGTCTATTATTACTAGTGAAATTGATTTTTTACCCCAGTGTAATTACTGGACATTTCAGGAATGTGGGAGTTATCCACAGCAAGTTGAAAAGAGAAATAAAATGAAAAAACCCAAACTGTGATATTTTTCACTCAACCATTACTTCCTGAGAGTGATACTATGAAGAAAGGGAAGATTCAAGTTAAACCAGGGAATTCCTTCCTATTTTCAATTTTTATAAAGATAGAAAGAATGAAGAACATTTGCTTCTTTCTGGATATAGATTCAGAACACTGGAAATAACAAAGAGATCACAAATTCATACATTTGTAATACCATCTAAAATTTGTAATGACTTTCCAATTATCTTACCAAAGAGAAAACTGAAAATAAGGGATTGACAAATAAGAAAATTAGTGCTATTTCAATTAAAATCAGGTAGCCTGACAACAGCACATGGGTTTTATTTTGAAAAGTGTAAGCAGGAGGAAGACTTAAATATAGATATTCTGACCCAGGGTCCAGATCTTTCTACTACACTACCATGTATAAAAATGGCTAGTCATCATGTTTTCTTGGTTTGATGCCAAGAATGCAAGGTTGGCTTAATAGAGTAATGTAATTTACCTCATTAACAGCTTAAAGGATAAATACCATCTGATCATTTCTGCAGATGTCAAAATAATAATTCAACAAAATATAACATGTATTCACGATAAAAATAAACAAATTAGAAATAGAAAAAAACTTCATTTTCCAGATATCTTTAAAAAGTATATTTATACAAAAACCTTTAGAAAGTAACACATTTAATGGCAAAATGTTAAAAGCATTACATCTAAGAGTAGGAACAAGCTAAAAATTCCCACCATTACTACTCCTACTGGAGTAGCATAGTAAGATAAAAAACTATATACATATATAGGAATTGGAATTATATTATTATTAATATAAAACTCAAAAGAATTAGCGAATAAATTATTAATAGGTGAGCTTAAAAGATTAAATAATTTGTTAAATTTAGTCATTTTAAAATGTGATGTATTAAAGCTACCATCATAATAGTTATACATACATATATATTTCTTAGGAATAAATCTAAGTACATATAGGTGCTTTATAAAGAAAATGAGAAAACTTTAATGAAAGACTACAGAGACCTAAATAGATATCTAAATAATTCATGGATAAGAAGATTTGAAGTGTTAATTTCCCCCAAAGTAATCCATGTATTCAATGCAATTCCATTGAAAATTCCAAAAGGAATATTTACGAAACTGGATGAGATGATTCTGCAGTTTATACGGAAACATAACTTGGAAGGAGGATTCGTCTTGCAGATCTCATGCATTTTATGAAGCTATAGTAGTTAAGACAGTGAGATACTGGCATGTGTATGAGAAATAAGCCAATGGAATAGAACAGAATGCTCAGAAATAAGCCCATGCTTATATGGAGATTTGTCACAGAAGGATATTGAAGACCATCAGGAAAATGACAGACAATTCAATCAATGATGCAGAGACATCATTCCAAATGCAAAAACCTTAAATGGCATATCCTCCTCACATGCTACACAAAATACATCCCTGGTGAATTTTATTATATTTAACAAGAAAAATGGGCTGGGCATGGTGGCTCACGCCTGTAATCCCAGCACTTTGGGAGGCCAAGGCCAGTGGATCATGAGGTCAGGAGATTGAGATCATCCTGGCTAACATGGTGAAACCCTGTCTCTACTAAAAAATACAAAAAATTAGCTGGGCGTGGTGGTGGGCACCTGTAGTCCCAGCTACTCAGGAGGCTGACGCAGAAGAATGGTATGAACTCGGGAGGTGGAGCTTGCAGTGAGCTGAGATCACACCACTGCACTCTAGCCTGGGCGACAGAGCGAGACTCTGCCTCAAAAAAAAAACCAAAACATTTTTTAGGAGAAATAGGAGTTTATGATCTTCAGGTAGAAGTTCTTAAACAAAACATTAATACATAATCCATTAAAGAAGATTTGTAAGTATGGTTACATTAAAATAAAAAATTTCTGTTCACCAAAAGGTATTAAGAAGAGTGAATACATAAGCCACCAAATGGAGATATTACATTTATAAATGACAAAGGATAAGTATCATGAACACATAACTGATAAAAATTAAGAAAAAGACAAACAAGTGATAGAAAAATGTGCAAAAGGTATTGCTATGGTTTGAATGTGTTCCCCAAAATTCATGTGTTAGAAACTTAATCTCCAATGCAACAGTGTTGAGAGGTGTGGCCTAATAAGAGGTGATTAGATCATGAGAGCAAAGCCTAATAATATTATTATCATGGGAGTCAGTTGGTTGTCACAAGAGTGGGCTTTTTTGATCCTCTCTGCTCTCTTACACTTGCACTCTCTTGCCCTTCCACCTTCCACCACAGGATGATGCAACACAAAGGCCCTCACCAGATGCCGGTGCCATGCTCTTGGACTTCCCAGCCTCCAGAACTGTGAGCCAAATAAATTCGTATTGCTTACACCCAGTCTCATTTATTTTGTTATAGCAACACAAAATGGACTAAGACATACAACAAACTGGGAGTTTACAAAAGAGTAAATGCAAATGTCCTATGAACAAAAATGTTGTACTTCACTGATAATCAGGCAAATAACAAAAATCACCTAACACTTAGCATTGTATTATCACTTCACACTATCAGACTGGCAATTGTAAGTTTTGATGAAGATAGAGAAAAAAAAAAACAAGCAATGCCCGTTGACCAGTGGTTAGAGATTAAAGTAGTACAACCTCTTGGGAAACATTTTGACATGACTCAAGTTTTGTTTATTCTCAGATCCAACAATTCCACTTCTTGGCATAAACCCTGGAGAAACTCTTGCACAGGAAACATAATTCAAGAATGTACACACAGTGTTGTCACACTCGTGAAAATATGGAAACAAGCCAGATGTTTATCAACGGTAGACTGAATCAATAGATGTGCTAGATTCACAATTGCACATTATATATCAATGTTAAGGAACCTCAAAGATAATGTAAATTTAAGAAGAAGGAGAAGAATACTTGCAGGATGATTCCAGTTATATAGAGTTAGGCAAAACTAAATGTATTACTTGGGAATAATTCCACAGTACCACAACCAAGAAAAGCAATGAAATTATTCACCCAAAATACAGACTGGTTGATACCTCCAGGTGGGGTGGGAGAGTGTGCAGTCAAGCAGGGGCACCCAGGGGATTCCTAAGTGCCACTAATGTTGTTTCCTAACCATACTGGTAGTTATATTGATGTTTATTTTATTCTTCTTCTTTATACTAGCCATATGTTTGATATATTATTTTGTGCATATGATGTATTTTCTGATTCTTTAATATAAGAAATAGGCATATTTGGCTTTAAACCATTGTGATGTTAAAACTCAAGGTCTCACAGACCAGAGGTCCAAACTGCTTAGTGTGAACTAATAAAAAAGAAACAGGTAAACAAACATATTAGGTGTCCTCCACGTTCACAAGGCTTGACATAGATACAATAATAAGGCCATATGGCTTTGCAGTAAATGCAATATCTCTGCAAAGTATTGCAATCCATAGTTCACTGACCCTCACTATAGGCGTTATTATTATGCTCTCTTCATGTGTAGTGTAAACTGGCCCCCGATTCAGGCAGATTCAAATGGACAAATCAGTGAAATGGAAGCCTGCAGTATTCTTTTAAAAAAAGACTAATAAAGACATAAAGGCGTTTTCTCTACAACAGTGAGCACATTCTGCATTGCGTTAACCTGCTGACACTATTTGTAATGGCATAGAAAGGTCACTAAAGCCTAAATCCGCTCAGCAAGATTCGCTACCACGATCTTCTAAAAAACACGAGCTTTATTAAATATCAGCTCTCATCTTATTTCCAAGAAGGCAATCCAAAGGTTATGGTGGGCTCAGGTGTGAGGAGCGTGTCTATTATTGCGTCTTGCATTTGCATAGCATCTGCCCTCAGAATCATTCAGCACGTCTCCTTTACAGTCTCACATTAATCGGCAATCTATCCTGGTATCAGGGGGATGGGATAAGCTGGGATTCCCTGCTTTTTTTTAAATGGGGAAACTAAAGTCAGACAAGAAGACAAAGTATTTTTAGTAATGAGATTAATTCTCTCCCTCGTTAAAGCAGTAATTCCAAAGGATGTCAGCCTGTATGAACTCAGGCCTTGGCATAGTTTTACATGGAGTGGAAGAAATGAGGGGGCCCAACATCAACATGCTTGGAGGGCTTTGCAACCTTCCAGATTACCCCAGTGGGTGAGCCCCTTAGTATGGCATCAGGTACATGGGAAAGCCACCTCCTGATTTCACTCCTGCCTCCATGTGATGCCCTAGTTTTACTGGGAGGATTTACTTGGGGTGATGAAATACCTAACTTCCACTAAAGACCCAATTCACTTTTATTTGATTTTTTTAAAAAGTGAAGTGATTCACAAACTTCAAATCAAGAGAAAACAAAAGCTGATTTTGTTTCTGTTTTGCTGGTTGAGATGCAAAGAGGAGAGATGTTGTAGTCACCCTAGTCCCATTTCTTGAGCTTTCCATTTCAGCTTCTGCTGCCTCAGTTTCTTCATGTCTCCCAATTCCAGACCAAGGAAACTGCTGCACTCAGCTCATAGTTTGTGGCAGATCCATTAGAGTCATATGCTAAGGGCATTGTCTGGAATCTGGGCTACCCCTTCTCCAGTGGGGACATGGTGAGAGGAGATGAGGAGGGGATGGCGCTTACAAAATCCAGCTGCAGCACATGGGCTGTGGGTGGCTGGCTCTCCCTTAGGTGGAGTTTGGGAGAGGGGGAGTTGGCAGAAATAAAGCTTCTTGTTTAATTCACATCTTAAAGATATGTACTACTTAATGAGAAAAAGCCTCTGTATATACTAACATGTACATAAATTCAACGTAATAAGCCTTCAAAATAGAACTGCTAGGTTATCTCAAAAATAATTTAAGAAAATGAAATGCAGCAGTTTAAACGGGGTCAACATAAATGGGTGAAACGATCTTTTTCGAAATGCCATGACATGTTATGACTCTCTTTGCCTAGGTGCTTTATTAAGAATTTTTTTTCCTATGACTGTTTCTATTTTTAAATTACTTAACAAGAAGTGACTTCATGGCTGTGGGAGAAAATGCAAAAATAATCACCTCGCCTGGCGACGGGGGGTCTCTGGTCATAACTCACTTCCTACTCCCAGCGGAAGAAAAATAGAGCCAAGGGAGACTGGGTGATGTGTGCAAAATTTTAAGCCCTTTATCGGGTGAGAATATTTCCTGCAGAGGCCTTTGGCCAAAGTAATCAAATTCTAGCCTGGCTGCTCACAGCCAGGAACACACAGATGGAAGCCCCAGGCCAGGGCTCCATAGAAAGAGCTAATATTTGATCTCCTGCTCTGAGATGTGGAGGGCAGAGTCCTTTGCCCTGCAGCAGAATTCTCTGCTCAACCTCATTCCCCTGGCTGTCTCCTGAGAACAGCCCTCCTGCCCTTGCCTCTCTCAAGCCTCTGGGCCTGTCCTTCCAGTGGTCATGTTTCTGACCCCCATGCCTTTGTGACTCGCCTCCAAACTGCCCTCAGGTGTCAGCTGGCTCCATCTCCCTGCAGTGTCTGCAACACTCAGATGATCCCACGCATACCAGTGAAATGGGTTAGTATCGCTGATTCCTTAATATAAAAATGCTAATGTGGAAACCAAATGAGAAAGAGATCAAATGCTTAATGCCAAAAGGGAATTCATGAATTCTTGTCTATTTTCTCATTTATATTCTTGAGTCGTTACCATAAATTACAACCACTCTCTGCCCCAATCCCTCGCCCACTTGGGGCATTTCTCCACCATAGGATCCTCATTTTTTGCAGCTCTGTCTTCATTATCATCTCAGGGAGGAAGAGCAAAGGGAAATGAAGCGCATACAACTCCCTTTCCCCCCAGTTCTCATCCTGTCCTAACTTAGTGAAAGGAAATATGTGGCCTTTGTGCTCCAGTCCTTCCTTCTGTGCCAGGGGAGACAACATCAGTAAATCACAGAACTCTCCGAGCCCAGACACAGCTTCTCAATACTTCTCATCGTAGTGCTGCCCATGTCAGGGGCAACTGAACAGAAATAGCTCACAAGATGAAACCTATTTGTCATCTCCCACCAAAAACAATCCTGCCAGATCCAGAGAATGCCAGCTCTCCACAGGTTCTTTTCAGATGTTCTCTTTCTCATTTTTTTTTTTTTCTTAGAAAGTTCAAGAAGATATAGAAGAAGAACATGCCTATCACTCAGGCTGCCATTTTAGGAAATCATACTTGGAGCAAAAGTGATAGGTGTACTTCTAAGGCACATGACAGTCAGGTCATTACAGACAAACAAGGGGGAAACAGCCCCTTATCACATGCTTTGCTAAACTTCCATCCTTATTCCTGCAGCTCTAATCATATCACAGTGTCCAGAAGGATGGGAGTAAAATCCAAGGAGGCAGGCAGACCCAGGAGTAAAGTCAGACCATGAGAACCAGGGTCAAAAAGGCAGAGAGGGAACTCTGGAACTGTGTAAGGAAGTATGGATGGCTCATCATTATCAGAATCACTCCAGGAAACTTCATTTGTGAGGTGAACAAATATTGTCTTCAATGCTTCCTACCTCCCCAACACCCACTAGAACCTATTCTGGGTATCCTGGGTCCTCCTGACTGGACCCCAGGCCTTTTTCAAATTCCTGCATGTGTTTAATAAGCACCTACTCTACGTTAACCACTTTTTGTAAAGTGCTGTGTGTATAGAAAACATATGAGGCAGAGGACCTGTAACCTGGCCACAGACATAAGATATTCAGGACAGTTGATGATTGAGGGCCCAGGTAAGCGGCTCTGGGATGAGCCCCTGGGAGTCCAAGGAGGCAGAGCCTTATGGTGACTGGAGACTATATAGCGGCCATGAATGGCGATATGAAGTGGTTGTATTTTGGCTAGGCTTTTAGGAGGTGAAAAGCCAAGATCTTAACATCAGTTCTGCCACAGACCAGCAATTAATGTTATCTCTCTGGGTTTTCTCAGCTGTTACACGAGGGAAATAAACTAGATCAGAAACCAGCATGACCTGAGGGCCAAATCCAACCCAATGCCTGTTTTTGTAAATAAAGTTTTATTGGAACATAGCCATATTTGCTTCTTTATCTAAGTTTGCTTTCACACTACCAAGACAAAGGTGAGCAGTTGTGACAATAATTGTATGTTCCACAAGGCCTAAAATATTTACTATCTGGCCCTTTGCAGAAAAAAATTGCCATCCTCTGCACCATATCAAAAACTCCCAAGATCCAGTGTCTACATGAATCTGACAGGTAAATATACACCAGTACACCAGTAAAGTAGGGAAGATATAAGAAAAATCACTGAATCCTCTTGGTCTAGTTTTCATCTTCTCAGTTTTGATTATAAACAGAGCATACAGAGGGCTATTTCTCCACTGGAAGAAAAGCACAATGAAAAAAACAATGCAACTGGCCCTCAGTCTCTGTGTGGGGTAGGATCTGTGGCAAACCAGGCAGGACACCCATGCCCTGCCTGAGGGAAGCCTCCACTCAGCTGCAAGAAAATACTGGCCCACTGTTGCCTGCTTCTGTGTGTTTTCTAGAGAAGCTACGAGTGTAGATTTTTATGTGACATCTCTCCACTTAAAAAAAATTAATTTTCAGTTTAGGAACAAGCCAAGCTCTCTGCATAACACCCTTGTCTTGTGGTGGCCACTTTTTGACCTTGGGATCAACACGTTGCTGATTGGCTGGATCTGTGTTCGTGGCCTTTCTAGGGAAGAGCCCTTCAGAAGACAGGGAAGAACAGGAGAACGAAGGCCTCCCAAAGGGAAAGCACTGAGAAGGATGGAAGTAGCTGTTAGGAGCAATGAGTAGGGGAGGAGGACACTCGAGTGAGGCAGGAGGGAAAGGGAATAATCTTGGGAGGGGCTCCCTTTCCGGATTGAAGCAGGAGGTAGTGTCTGGATTACTCAGAGGATGAAATGGTGTTTTGAGATCAAATTTTATGGTGGAGTTACCTAAAGTGTTGGGGAAAAAGAGTTTGCCAAAGGATGACCAAAGTTTCCCATTTCCCTGGGACGGAGCCATTTCTTTGGACACCAGACATTCAGCGATCAAACTGGGACAGTTCTGGGACAATGGACATTTGGCCAGCCTTGTAGAGACAAGATGAGCTTTCAGAAGGCTACCCCAGTAGTCCAGATAGAAGGTGACAAGATTCCTGAGCTAAGGATATCCCATTCTCTTCTGATGGAAAACTTCTTGTCAAAGTGTCCATAAAAAAGAACAGTCTGCTTTGCTTTGTTCCAGGTGCATTTTAGCCATAGCCTCTGGCTGCAAAACCTTACCCCAATGGACTGGTTCAGCAGCAAGAACATGGCCACGTGGGCTGGCCTGGGGAGAAGCTATTGAGTAGGAGCCATCGGGTGCAGGAGGGAAAGCTTGCTGCCACTAATACTAATAAAGGCTCCCATGGAGGGGTACCTGCTATAGCCTGGTACTTCACTTAATATTTATAAGGACCCACATAATGCAAGGATTGTTTTCACCCCGTGTGGCAAGTGAGGCAGCTGAAAAGGTTGAGTAATTTGTCTGTTGTCAACAAACGTGGGAGCCAGAATGTAAATTGAGCATCATTCCAATCTCCATTCCCCAGCACACCTCACCTCTCCCCACTCTACAGTCCTTGCCTCCTCTGTCCTTTTGGGGGCTCTGGCCATAAGCACAGAAGCCTATCTCCTGGGAACTCAATGAGCCGCCTCAGACAAGACACATCAACTACCAGAAAGGAGCCAGTAGCCTGAAGGGAATTCAGAGGAGAGCCACATGAATAATTAAGAGCCTAGAAGGATTGATCTGTCAGGGAAGATTAGAAGAATACAGTATGTGTAGTTTGGCTAAGCTGAGACCGAAGGAGCAGGCGTCTGGGAGTGGGGAGGGGCTAGAGCACAGAGTCCTTGCAGAATGGGTGGGCTGTCTGCTTGTTATAACATGAGGAAGCAGAGCTGGGAAGAAGACATGAGAAAGAGAAAGTGCAAAGTGAAGGCTGAAGAATGATTTCCCAAGGAACAAATTTCTCCCCAGAATCCAGAGAGGAACTCAGTCTAGTTCCTCTAGAACTAGAACTTTTATACCTTCGTGTAGGAGCCCTACACGAAGGTATAAAAGCCCAATAGCTCTGTTTTCCCTCTTTCCAAGTGGAATGTATTTCCTTAGCAAAATAATAAATTCAAGTTCCTTGCCATATCTCTCGAGTCCCCAGGTCTTCTCCAGGTCTCTGACCTCTGACGTTAAACTGCTTTATTCTGTAACAGTCAACTCTGAATTACCCAGGAGAGAGAAGGCTTGGAGGTATGATGGGCTGATCTGAGCACTGACTTTGCCATGCCCTGCACCAAGCTTAGAATAAAATTCTCATCCTGTATTCACTTGCCCAAGGTCACATAAGTGGTTTAGACAGTCTGCAATTTTTAAAAAATTCCAAGCCCCACTCTTACTTATTTGTTTCTTAAGGCAATTTAGCATCAGTTCTGTCATGAACTAGCAATTGATGTTATCTCTCTGGGTTTTCTCATCTGTAAAGTGAGGGAAATAAGCACTTGGCCAAAAACTGGGTCTGTAGTGGCAACCAAGGCAGGGTTGGTCCCTACTTTCATGGGATGTATAATCTGAATGAGGAAGATGAACATTAAAGTAATATTTAACAGGTCATTGATGTAAAATGGTGAAAGTAAATAATGCAATGTTTATGATGTTGTGAAACAAGAAGACAGCTCCATCTAAGGAGACAGAAGGGCTTCTCCTCCAAGGAAAGTGTAAGAAACTAAGGCCAGAATGTTAGGTCGGAGGGGAGGTGTTATGCACTGAAGAATTAACATTACCTAAAGAGAGATCTCACCTTTTCCCTTTGCTACTGGGAGGTGATTTCTAGGACCCCTGGAATATCATGTTTCATAAGGGTATCTCTGTTTGCCTGAGAGTTTTGGCCAACAAATGGTCTAGCAATGTGATTTACAATGGGAGCTTTGGGCCATGTTGTATTAGTTATCTAACCTCCAGGAGGGATGGAGAATAAAGGTCAGTCAGGTGAGAAGTCTCACATCCTGCTCAGTGTGACCAAGTCCCCTGTAAAAACTCTAGATAGTAAAGATCAAGCGAGATTCTCTGGTTGACATATTGTCACTCATAAACACCAGGAAAGTAACATTGGTCCTGACTCCATGGAGAGGGCAATGGGACTCTCATATTTTGTACTTTCCCAGGTATTCACTGTATGTGCTTCTTTTCTTGGCTGCCATTAATCTGTATCGTTCCCCTGGAATAAACTCTAACCATGGGCATAATAGACATTACTGAGTTCTGTGATTCCTTCTACAAACTAATGAACCTGAAGGTGGTTTTGAGAACCCCTCAAACTTGCAATTGTTGTCAGAAGTGGGATGGTCTCCTGGGGGACTGTCCCCTTAAACTCTCACAGGTGCTGATAGAGGAAACGTCTCCTAGACAGAAGGCAGGGTGTGAGACAGATGCCTCTATTTTACTTTTGACATTACACCTGTTTTCTCTTAATAGCAATAATTGTTTTCTGAATATACCCCAAACTCATTCTCTTTTATTCAATTGACTAAATATTGGCCATTACAAGAAACATTCTGCATCTAATGATTTCTGTTGGATTTTTTTTCATTTGCATTATCTTCTTTCTATAATCTCAAACTCTATTCATAAAACTATATTCCATATATAGTTCTTCTTTTTCTATAAGAAAACATGTTTTCCAATGTCATGGCAGGCTTCAGAAATGCTAAATTCACAAAGGACCAGAAAAGATTCATGGGCAGTAAAATTTGACACTGCAATTCAAGAAGGGGAAATTGAGCTTGTGATTTTTTTCAAAGGTAAATAGAAATTGCCTGAAGAGTAGGCTGTATAACCCTGGATGGTTGGGTGCAGGTTGGAGGAATTCAGTGAGCAGGAGAGTTGAGCGGTCCAGGGACACCAGATAGGAAGGGACTGAGAAAGCAAAGTCATTCCCAGGGAGTTTTTCAGACAAATCTGGGGAAAGAAAAGTCTGAAACCATCACCTCAAGGTCCAAATAGCTATGGAATAAATCCCATCGTAATGGAAAGGGTTTGATTTTTGTATAGTGCATTGGATGGTCATTCTTCTGAAGTCCCTTTGTGGATTTCTCATTTTCTCCAACCCTGTCCTTAAATGCCAGTTTCCCTCCAGGGTTCCTTTCTCTATCCAAATGCCTGAAGCCAACTCCAAGACATGACAAATCTTGACCACTAGAGGCTGATCTAGTTGGTTTGGGGAAAAAATACAAGTTGTAACTGTTAAGAACCAAACTTAAATATCAAGCAGAGCCAAGCTGGACTCAGCAAAACAGATACACAGTAAAACATGTCGCCTCCATATAATGTATTTATTCAGGTCTTCTCACTTTGTATTAAAGGAACTTTGTTCAAAAATAGCATCATGGTTAAAAGTGTGATCTCTGGAGTCAGACTCCAGCTTCCAACTTTGCCACGAACCAGCTATGCAACTTTGAGCAAGTTACTAAACTTCTCTTCACTTCAGCTTCCTTCAATACACAATGGAGATAACAGGTTTTTATGAGGATTAAATCAGCTAACACACACGGACTTCTTAGAATAATGCCTAGCACATAGTAATTTCACTAAAGATAGAGAATGGTAGGCTGAAGGCACCATTTTCTATACAGTCAGAGGCTGGAGTCATTCTAGTGTCCAAACATACAGCACAACAGTTTAAATCCTAATTCCAAAAGTTAATACTAAGATATCTCATTAGATGGGCAGGAACTGTATACTTGTGCATCCTGACTGCTGATGGTCAGGTGGTCACCAGCCAAGAACATTGTCCACAGGGACAGAACTTGGTTAGGACTAAGCCCTATATCAAGGCAGAGGTCCAGAAAAGGGGGACTCTCAAAAGCAACATTAGACAGCAGGACTCTTCAGAAAAAAATGACTTTGATCTTGGAGGAGCAGTGGGTAGGGAAACAAGACATTGAAAAGATGGATATCTCAGGCAGGAATCCTATTCTTCAAACAATGTCAATGCAAGATGCCAAAACTTGCCCTATAGCAGCAGATCCTGGCCTCAGCTGCATGGTAGAACTCCCTAGAGAGCTTTTGAAAAACGCCGATGCTCACATTCCATTTCAAGGCAACCCAATCAGAACTTGAGTATTGGCAATTTTTAGAAAGCCTCCTCGTACCCCTTAACCCCACAGTTCTAGGGTAACCAGGGTTGAGAACCACAGCTCTGGAGTCTACCCAACTGCTTCTCAAATTTTAACGTGCACAGAATCACCAGGGGTCCTTGCTGAAATGCAGACTCTGATTCAATGGGTCGGGGTGAGACCCAAGATTCTGCATTTCCCACAAGCTCCCTGGTGATGCCACTGCTGCTAGTCAGTGGGCTGTGGGCGCTAGGGCCTGGCAGCACAGGCAGTGTTTGGGGAGAAGCCCAAAGTGGGTGTGTAATAGTTATAATTTGGCTACCAAGTCCTTGGATTGGTGAGTGTGTCCAATCCTAAGCCCTACTAGAAAAGACGGATGGAAAATCCATCACGCCTTTCTCATGCCCTGGGGTAGGCAGAAGATTACATTTATGGGCAGTCAGTGAATTCAGCTGTGCAGGACTCGGGAAGCAGGAGACAGGGGCTGACACAGGCAGCAATTGTAGCCAGGATGAAGGAGTCTAAGACTTCAAAGTAAAAGGAGGTAGAGGAGTTAGGGGAGTCTGGTATATGGCAGCAGTAGCTTTTTCCCCCTCTTCATTCCCCCTTACTTCTCACCCTTGGCAATCATCATTCTGATTTCTGTCTCTATGGTTTATTATTATCATGGTTTATTATTCTCTATAATAATACATTCTAGTTCCTCTTATAAGTAGAACCATATGCTATTTGTCCTTTTGTGTCTGGCTTATTTCCCTAAGCATAATGTTGTTAAGGTTCATCCATGTTGTAGCATATGTAAGAGTTGTCTTTCTTTTTAAGGTTGAATAATATTCCATTTTACATATACAGCATACCTTTTTCATCCATTTATCCGCTGATAGACACTTGAGTTGCTTCTGCCTTTTGGCCACTATGAATAATGCTGCTGTGAACATGGGTATACAAATATCTCAACATCCTGCTTTCAATTCTGCTGGATATATACCCAGAAGTGGAATTGCTGGATCGTATGGTAATTCTATTTTTAAATTTTTGAGGAACTGCCATATCGTTTTCCAAACAGCAGCTGCACCATGCTACATTCTCACCAACAGTGCGCAAGAGCTCCAGCTTCCTTAGATCCTTGCCAATACCTGCTATTTTCTGTGGATTCGTGTTATCATTGCCATCCTGATGGGTGTGAAGTGACATCTCATTTTGGCTTTGATTTGCATTTCCCTAATGATGAGTGATGTTGAGAGCAGCCGTTTTGGTGGAAATGGAAACATCTCACTCTTGGCTTTATAGGCAGCGTCTCCTGATTTCTTGCTTCATCATACGCTTGTTCATGTTACCTGCCATGTTACCTGTCAGCATGAATGCTAGTCTTAGTCCCAATCTAGGTTAAAGAATGCTTGGATCGAGGAGGTGCCATTTCTCTCCTGTGGCCTGGGAGCACGCTGAGTCTGGCCAAGCTCATGGTGACTTCTCTGTTCATTGACTCTGTGGAAGGGTCTGTCTATGTCCCACCAGATCTCCTCCTCAATCATGCTACCACTTTAAAACTGTTTGCCTGAGGGCTCTGGGGCCAGGCAGTGGGAGAACTTTCTTTCCCCACAGAGCATATTACAAATGCCAAATCAGAAGTGCTGGAGAATGAATGGCCCCAGAACTCACTCCACCAGTGGTGATGGGAAGATGGTGGATAAATATCCCGGCTGCATCTCCCTTGAGCTGGGATAACTCTGAAGTGTGTTCTAGGCTGTTTCCCACAGTGGTCTGAATGTGTGGCAGATGCTCACAGTGGAAACGGGTTTGATAAAGCTTCCCTTTTTTGTTTCCCTGCATTGCTTCCCCACTTCCCTACAAGTGTTGGCTGGGATCGCTGCCTTAATAAACAACCTGAGCTTGAATCCTTACCTTAGGGTCCGCTTCTGGGGGAAACCAACTCAATACAGATAATATTATGCCTCTTTCAGCTACCAATACCTATTACCAGCATGTGTCCAGTCTTGGTCAGTGTGAAAAGCAGTTAGTGAAAGATTTTTAGGTCCACAGAAATGCTCAGGGGAACCTGTGCTTTTTCCTTGAGCTATTTACCAGGTTCATTATTCACATTTCCCCAAAATACACGTGTGCCTAAGGGAGATTGCTGTGTCCCATATCCTCACCTCTAGTTACAAAATACACTAAGGTAGCATACTGCACACATGAAATTGCTGAACAAAAAAATGAATAGATTATATATCTAAGAAATATGGTTTGTACTCTCTCCCATTAAATATATTTGTATCCCCAGTATAACAATGTAACATATATTGGAATCTACAAAGTTCTCATGCCAAGGAAACATCCCTGAAGAGTTTAACGCTGGTAATAGAATAATATACTCGCTAATCAAGGCAATCTTTAAGGCCAGATGGTGTCTCTGTTGGACTCTTCTTGGTGGTTTTCTATACCTTCATAAACCTGGTTCTTGACTGTTCTACAGAGAGTGAGACTCTATAAAAATTCTCTTATAAACATATATGCACACATATGTTCATTGCAGCACTATTCACAATAGCAAAGACATGAAATCAACCTAAATGCCCGTCAATGACAGACTGGATAAAGAAAATGTGATACATACACACCAGGGAATACTATGCTGCCATAAAAAAGAAAGAGATCGTATCCTTTGCGAGGACATGGATGGAGCTAGAAGTCATTATCCTCAGCAAATGGAGGAACAGAAAATCAAATACTGCATATTCTCACTTATAAGTGGGAGCTGAATTATGAGAACACATGGACACATAGGGAGAAACAAAACACATTGGGACCTATTTGGCGGATGGGCAGTGGGAGAAGGGAGAGCATCAGGAAGAATAGCTCATGGATGCTAAGGCTTAATACCTAGGTGATGGGATGATGTGTGCAGCAAAGCACCACGGCACACATTTATATAACAAATAGGCACATCCTGCACATGCACCCCTGAACTTTTAAAATAAAGTACAAGTTAGAAATTTAAAGTGGGGAAATCTTTTTTAAAAAAGAAAGAAATTCTCTGTTCACACAACTGTTAGATGAGAAACATAAAAGTTTTTCCTGTAGGAAATTATATACATGTTTTAAAGCAGAAGAGTAAAAATTCATATTAGCCAAGTCCAAAATAGAAAAGAGGAAGGAACGGTGAAACGCCTGTTCCCAACACAGAGAGGTCATCTGAACTATCATCGTGGGAAAGTAAAAGTTTACCCGAGAGAAGCCCACAGATGCTCCAAAATGGAGCCAGAAATAGTAACCAGATAATGCTTATAATACAGCAAACAGCTGAGCAAACTGAGATGACACAGAATCTTTTTAATGCTCGTTTCAAGGTTATAGACATTATAATAGCAGGTCCTGAGCAACTCTGAATTTCAATATATGAAAAACACAGGCCCTCTCTACCAGGCCTCTGCTCATTTTCTCCATGGAAAAGAGTTTTGGGAGTCTGTTCTGATATTTTATGAAGTTCATTGTTTGATCCTATGCCCCTGTAAGGGGAATGCACTAGTTACAAAAAAGAAGAAAGGTGGAGATAATGACTCAGTGGACATTCAGTGGAGGTTTCTCTGTTTAAGGGGTAATGGTTGAAAATTTTATTTTAAATATCTCCAGCTCTTGAAAAGGTAAAATGATTTGTCCAGGATTTTAAAGCCATGATTTTACTTTATATATTCGAAACTCTGAAACTAAAGCAATTTTAGTGTGTATGGGGCGGGATGGGGAGAGAAGGCAGAGGAACTAAGGACAGGTACAACATTTAGCAAACTCATAATCCTATAAAGAAAACATTTTTAGCTTCCAATAAGACCACACTCCTACTCCTAACATAGGAACCAGGGACATGCAAAACATATGAAATGCAACTACATTGATGACAGGCAAATGCTTCTGCTGTTTACAAATCCATTCTCATGTATTAGCCATTAATATTGCTTATTAATTTTCTTTGATTCATGGTTTCTGACTTCTGATACTTTTCTTTGAGAAAACATTTGCATTCATTTGTCACTAGAAGCAAAATATGCATTCGCAAAGCTACTCATTTAGAACCCAAGAATGAATTCGAGAAAAGTATACAGAGAAGAAAATCGGCACTGCAGGAAGGCTCAGGGCCTTGCGCAAAGCCCTGTTAGCCAATCAGGGAGAATGTCCACAAGTGAGAACTCACTCCCCTCAAAAATTAGCCATCAAAAGAAAAAGAGGATGAGCGCATGACAGATCTTATTTGTCCTGGCTTGAGGTTGTCATTAGTGACATTCACACCACATGTTTGAAATCTATCTTGAAGAGCAAATGCTAAGCCTCTGTTTATTCTCTTTTTAATTCCACACCATCCAGAGCCAGAACTACAAGCCCAAACTCTGTCCCTTTGATTGGAGCATCTCTCTCACCTGCTACACGTGTTCAGCTAACTACGGAAGGAAACCTACAGGCAAGAAACAAAGTGGTCCTTCTAGCTTGACACCTTGTGTGATAGGAATAGTCCAACTCCATTGGGGGGCTTTCAGAAATAAGGAGAAGAGATTGGGATACCCCACAGACAGTTTTTGTCCAGTTACATTTATATGCTTTCTCAAGCATCCCCTCTCACCGAGCTCCACGAACGATAAGGGAATCAGTCTTAAAAGAGCCGCGAGTTACAGGCACACCTGAGAGAAAGAGATGTTTGTATTCACCTTAGAACTGACTCTAGCCCTGGGTCCTAGTTCTTTACTGGGGTCCTTACTTCAATTTCTCACTCTCTACCTTCTCATTCTTTTCCTCTCTCCACTGGATTCATTATGAGATGAGTTGTTGAAGGCTGGTGGCAAAATCTGTGCGGCAAATATGCTAAAGTACATAGATAGAGTTTCTCCCTGCTGAATTGACAACTACAATAAAGGGAAACACTAATTTTCAGGGTTTGGAAGCTCAGTCTTTCAAACAAAGGAGGACTTGCTCAATGAAGTTGCATTTCTAATCCTTTAGCTAGAGTCAAATGAAGCCAGTTTTGAAGAGCATTTCAAACTCTATTGATGACCAAATTGCACTATTGATTGATACCAACTGTAAACTCGTGGCTCCTCATCCACATCCCTTTAATTGGTCTTGAATGACACTCTTTTAAATGACTTTGGGAAGTGAAGGGGAAGAAATGTGCCAAAGATAATTTGCACAAAGAAAATTTACATCTCGTCTTTGTTTCATTTTTTCTGGCATGGATACTGACTACCAATTTATTATTATTTTTTTTTCTTGAGGGAAGTAGTGAGAATACGAACAGCAGTCTGGATTTTTCTTGTTCTGTTTCCATAATTAGAAAAATAGACTAAAATTATGCAGGAGCAGATTGAGGGAAAAATACAACCTGCTTTCCTATGATTTAGTGAACTCTTTTTTGAATTCAAAGATATCCCCTCCTTCCCCTGGCCCCTATACATGTCTTTTTATCTCTGAGTAGTTACTGTACCTCTTTTAAGTTTATTCTCCAGTTTAATGACAAGAGCATTCTTCAAAAAGCTTTAAGCCATGAAGTGTGTTCATAATCACATCACTATTTGTTTGAAAACAATGTCCTGATACCCTGCTGTCTTCCCAGTAGGCCCAGGCAATACAAACCAGTCCCCCATAATCACATGGTACTTACAAAATCAGGTTGGGCTTGAAGAAACTGGTCAAATTGTTTTCACATAAGTTGAAAACGTGACCTACCAAATGACCCATTGGTTAGTTATCCTACAAGATGCTGCTAATACGGGGAACGACTATGAAAATTCATTCAGCCCATGCATTTTTAAATGTACCTGGAGAGTTATTCAAAGATTCAGTGGTATTTCCACTTAGACACCTGCCTTTCCTTCCGTCTCCGTTTTTGTTGAAAAAATAAAAAGCACTTTATGTAAGCCTAGATTCAAACCACAATCGGCTCACAGATAAAGATGTTAGGGGACAGAGAATTTCTCAACATGCAATCACTTTCAACAACATCGCCTGTTAAAAATCGTACATGTAGACTGGGCATGGTGGCTCACGTCTGTAATCACAGCTACGCAGGAGACCAAGGTAAGAGGATCACTTGAGCTCAGGAATTTAAGACTAGCTTGGACAACATAGTGAGACCTCATCTCTAAAAAAATTTTTTAAATTAGCTGGGTGTAATGGCTCACATCTCTAATCCCAGCTACTCAGGTGGCTGAGGCGGGACAATCGCTTGAGCCAAGGAGGTCGAGGCTGCAGTGAGCTGTCATCATGCCACTGCACTCCAGCCTGGGCCACAGAGGGAGACCTTGTCACAAAAACAAAAACAAAACAAAACAAACAACAACAACAACAAAACCGTATAGAGTCACCAAAGACTCAGAGAATTAGAACTTCAGAGGTTAAGGCTCTGAAACATGGATTTTATATAAACTTCCAAGGCAGTTCTGGTTCATTTAAGTTCTGAGAACCCCCGAGGTAGCCACCAGTCATTAAGGCTTCACTGAGCAGCATTCGAACCCCAGCCTCCAGGCCCCCCTCCTGCCTCCATATCTAACAGTGGGTCCAGTGTTTTCACCCCTCAGGCTCCGTATGCCTCCCTGAAGACTTGCAGTCATTTCCTAACTGATCAGCCCACGACCATTTCCTCTTCCCAACGTAGTCTTCTCATCACGTAACTCCCTGCTCAAGAATCTGTGGTGAATCCTCGTTTCCTTCCTATTTCAAAACCTATTCTTCAGCTTTAAATGTAAAGGCTGAAAGAAAATCCCTTCTGGCCTGAGTCCCCCACCGTCCCCTGCACCCTCCCCGCATTCCCTCCTTCTGAACCCCCAGCAAGACTGGCCGTTCTTCCAGCACCTGTGATGTCCTTCGCCCTCGTGCATCTCAGTGCTGGGGTGCTGCTCTCCCAGCTTCTCTAACCCTGTGAGTTGAACCCCAATGCATCTTCGAGGATCCTACCTCTCATCGAGGATGTGGCCCTGCCTCCCCAGCTGGCTGGGATCTGCCTCGGCTTTGGGCCTCTGCAGCATTTTGCTCAGCCCTTCCCTTGAGCTCTCGCCTTATTGGGTTTTGTTGTTCATTTCTTTACGCACTCAATTTGGCCTTCACTGGCCTTCAACTTGCCCGCATCCTAACTCCCTGAATGAAGGAGCTCTCCTGGTTTGCTTTTCACTCCCCTCAGGCAACTAATGATACAGGAGCTAGAAAGAAATTATTTAGGCAGACAGTGAGGGTCAAAGAGTCCTCGGCAGAATTTCCCTTTTAACAAAAAGCAGCCCCAGAGTAATTTCTTTTCTAACAAAGAGCAGCCTGAAAAATTGAGCTGCAAACATAGATAAGCAAGCTGAAAGCTTGCACGGGTGAATGCTGGCCGCTGTGCCAATAGGAAAAAGGCTACCTGGAAGCCAGGTATGTTCAACATGGAGGCTCCATCCTCCCTTTTCTTTGTCACCACGTGTACAGTAAAGAAACAGGCACAGGGCCGGCCAGGTAGCAAAAGCATCTGCATAATAAACGATTAGGGTGGGGGCTACCAGAAATTCGAGCGCTATGCAAAGGGCACACCTAGCCCGAACCAGTTTTTTGCGCCCTATGCAAATGGCACACCTTGTCCAACCAATCTTATGTGCCCTATGTAAATCAGACACTGCCTCCTAAAGCTCAGCTATAGAATCCCTTGCATTTCACCATGGACCAGAAACCCATTCAGGACCCCTCTCTCTGCAGGAGAGAGCTCTTCTCTTTTCTTTCACTGTTAAACTTTCTGCTCTTAAGCTCGCTCCTTGTGTGTCCCCATCTTAGTTTTCTGTGGCTTTGAGACAACAAATCTTGGGTAATTTCCCCAGCTGAAGGATGCCGCTTCACTAGCATGGGGTTCAAACACAGCAGACCCTCAATGAGAGCTTACTAGATTGTTTCATAGACTCTTCTGTCACCTTCTTTACATGTCCCCAAGGTGGTGTTTCCTGGCTTGCATCCCTCTGTGTGTCTGTGGCCACCAGTGCGCCAGCAACAGAGCCCTTTGTGGTCCCACACTTGGAATCCCACACAAGCCTCCCCACCTGTCTCCTGAATTTCCACCTCCTCCTCCCCCACCATCGCAGTCCCTAATTGAAGAAGAGCTTCTTGAACATCTCCCTGAATCCTGGAAAACAGCTATCTCGACCTTTGTAGAACTGACCAATTTAGATAAATTCACAAAGCTTTGGAACATAAGAAGGGTCACATTTTCTAAGAAAGTTTCAATGCCAATTCAACCGGCTGAGTGTGAGATCCCAGAACATGAGCCATCTGGTTCTATAGGACCATGCTGCATGCACTACACATCCTCTCTCCCTGCAAATGCCCTTTCCAGTATGTCCAATTCATTTTATATTATTTCTTATATTTTTCCTACCAAGCGTGGCCTTCTGCTACATGGTACCCCCCACCCTCCCACCCACACTCATTTCTGCCATCTCTCACACTCTCTCTCCCCTCTCCATCTTTGCTCACCCTCCAGCTCATGCCTTACTCAGTTCCAGGTGGTCATGGCAGCCACGTCTTGCTCTCCAGGGCTGTTCCATCTTCTCCCTCCTGCCCCACAAAATCAAGCCAACCCCCATCTGTCTCTCAGAGGTTCCTGACGACTCCTATGCAAAGTGATTTCTTCCTTCTTTGTATTTCCAAGCATGAATAAACTATGTAGTTGAGCACTTACATATTCCATTTCATCTGGCCTTTTGTTACTCAAGTTTTAGAGAGTATCTTGATTTTTCAACCCAGAGCATAAGGTCATTGAAGTGAGGGACCATGTCTTAAAATTTTTCTTATATGGAACTCCCTGGTGTTAAACAATTACCAGGGCTCAGCATGTATTCATAGATGAAATTTCAATCTTAGATATCTGTTCAGTAAAATGTGCAAGGTTTCTTTGTGCTTTAGGTTTAAATTAATTTGATCTTTGAAAAGCGTCATAAACCATTTCCTCAGTGAAAGTAAGAAAGAGCGGGGAGCATTCTGAGAATAGGCATGAAATTTGGGTATGATTCTTGGGATACAAAATTAAAAGGCCATCTGCCTTTGAGAGGCAGCAGATGTGTAATTGATATTCACTGCTCATTTGCCACTTGAATTCTGTAGACATTTAATGCTGTAATTGTTTACACAGTAAGATTCTTAACACCCTTCAGAGAATAGCTCACTTTTCCTGTAGTCTCCGTACTTCTGATCAGCCTATTAGAATCAGTTCTCATTTTCCTGGAGCTTCAAAAGTAGAATTAAAAACTAATTCGCATGATATCCCTTTGAAGATGATAATTTTATAATATCTACAAAAATTTAAAATGATATACCTTTGATCCAGCATCATCTATTTAGGAATCTATCCTACATTATACACAAGCCATATGCACAAAGATATATGCACATAAATGTTCATTGCAGGATAGTTTATAATTATAAAATATTAAAAATAGCCTAAATGTCTATCAATGAGGGATTGATTAAATAAATTATGAGTCATTCATACAATATAATACTAGGAAGCACTTACACAGCATGAGGTAGCAAAACTCCATTCTATAAAAAAAATACAAAAAATTAGCCAGGTGTGGTGGTGGGCACCTGCAGTCCCAGCTAATCAGGAGGCTGAGGTGGAAGGATCACCTGAGCCTGAGAGATGGAGGCTGCAGTGAGCTGCAAGTACGCCACTGCACTCTAGCTTGGGCAACAGAGTGAGACCCTGTCACAAAAAAAGAAAATAAATAAAAAAGAATGAGTTAACACTATTGGAATTGACAAGGGAAGATGTTGCATATGTGCAGATAATTTCCAAAAGGATACACAAGAAACTAAAGTATTAAGAATCTGGAGTAGTAAGGAAACCTGGTTTTAATGTATAACCCTTTGTATTTTTTTTAAACTTGTAAACGTATTTTTATTTTTAAAAACTAAGTCCAGGAGTGGTGGCTCACACCTGTAATCCCAATATTTTGGGAGGCTGACATGGTAGAACCACTTGAGCCCAGGAGTTCCTGACCAGCTTGGGCAATATAGTGAGACCTCATTTCTACCAAAAAAAAAAAATTTTTTTTTAATTAACCAGGTGTGGTGGTACATGTCTGTATTCCCAGCTACTCGGGAGGCTGAGGTGGGAGGATCACTTGACCCCAGGATGTTGAGGCTGCAGTGAGCTATGATTGCGCCTCTGCAATCCACCTTGGGTAACAGAGCAAGACCCTGTCTCAGAAATACATAAATAAATAAAAACTAATTTAAAAAATTAATTTGCAAAAAATGATATTAGCAGTTAAAAGGATTTGGAACCAATATTGGAATGGTTAATTATCTACGAAGAGTTTCAGAAACATCTTTGTCATATTGCCTCTTTGTGTACACAATCATAACTGAAATTATAATGCTTACGAAAGAGACAATGTTTTTTGTTTTTCTATTTTCTTTTTGATCATTAGATTCCAGCTATTTGGTAACTATTATCTCTCAGATTTGGACAGGAATCTGATTGGTGTCAGCTGTGTAAAGAGAGATGCAACAGGGACAGATGTTTGTATGAACAATTCTTTCACGTAGATCACTTTCATGGAATGATGACTATATTTTCAATATTTTGAAATCCCCCTAAGAAACTCATGTAACAAATAAAAGAAAGCATCTATCTCATCTATTCTATTCACAGACCTATCTATATCCACACTTATCTAGAAGATTCTTTTGGTTGTCTGCACAGCAGCCATTACTCTGTATATTCTTCCCTACAGGAAGAGCCTAAAAATGCAGCTACTCTTTTCCCCAGCCTCCATGATAACTGCCTTGTGTATTTTTCAGGATTGTTAGTTGCAGACAACAAAGTCCACCCTAATTAGGTTAAGCAGAAAGGGATTTACTACTGGATATTAGACAGTTTAAGAACATATGGGAAAACCAGATAGCCAAGCACATTTGCCAGAAAGCCAGAAGAAATGCCCAACCACAGCTCAAGACTGTTACAGCAAAGATGCCACTATTGTCATTCAGCCACCACCTCTGACACTAAAGAGCAGACACTGGCACTTCCACAGGAACTGGTCCAAAATAACCTAACACTTTTGCCACCTCGCATGCAAGAAAATCTGATCCACAACTGTTCCTTCGAGCTACTCACTCTCACCTCACCTCTCCATGGCTGGCACCAGTGAGCTGGCATGGTGGAAGTCAGGCCACGTACAGGACCCTAGCTGTAAGGAAGGCAAGAAAATGTATCTTTTAAGATCTCCAGCCTCTATAGTTTAGGAAGGCATCCTGGTGAGGGGTTATGGGAGGAGGCTATGTGAGCTAACCTGCCCTATTTTGGCCAGTGAAAAATAAGGGGAAGTGTTCTGGGGAGCTTCTGGGAGAGATTTTCCTCCCTGATAAAAAGAAACACAAGGAGAGCTCTCTTTACCACTCCTCCTCTTTCTGCTTTTGGACACAGGTGCAAGGGATACGATGCTTAGAGCTGCTGCAGCCATCTTGGAACCATGAGGGGAAGCACTGTCAACATCTACACCCACTCATATTTTTCATGTTGCAATCTCTCTGAGCTTCCTTCCTTGAGTTTATAGCAATATTCACCGTTTTCCCATCTCTAAAATCTCTCCCTGGTTTCGTCCGACTCTTCAGGCTACCATCCAATGTCTTTCCTCCCCATCGCCTACAAATTTATCCTCTCTATGCTTACTCATTCACCTCCTATCTCCTCCTCATTCACTTGCAGCCTGGGTCTGAGTATATTATACTCAAGAAGCATCTCACTATAAAGTCACCATGCCATGTGATTGGCGAATCTTATATATAGTTTTTTTTTTAATTTTTACTTTCCTTTATCTCTCTGCTGTACCTAACTCTTCATCACTTCTTTTTTGTCTTTCTTGAAAGTTTCTACTCTCTTTATACGACAAATTATATTCTCTTGGAATTCTAGTTACCTTTCTGACTGTTCCTTTCTTTGCCTTTTTTACGGACTCTCCTTCCACTCCCTCCCCTTTCAATGCCTCATCCATGGATCCCGGCTCTTCTCTGTCTATTCTCCCCAGGTGGTTTTCATCCTTTCTAACCATCACCCGAATATTGATGACCCTGAATATGTATGTCCAGCCCATAATCTTCTCAAGCTTCACATACATACCTCTAACCACAGCTACATACCTCCACTAGAATGTCTCATGGATCCTTGAAATGAATGTGTCCAAAAAAAAGATATCATTAGTCCTTAGAAACCTATTTCTTCTGTGATCTCCACCTTCTTCCTCACCCAACATAAAGATCTGAGGTCATCCTTGCCTCCTCCCTCTGCCTCATGTATGCGAGTAAAAGCTAATCAACTGCTGATTTCACCTAATCATTTCTTACCTGTGTTCCTACAGCAATTTTCTACATATCACTGGCAGAGTGATCCAGTCAAAATGCAAATCTGATTATTTTGTTCTCTTGCCTAAAGTTTTTTCTAATGCTTTCCATTGTTTACAAGATATGGATCAAGCTCCTCAGCAGAGTATTGTGCTTCATCTTCTGATTTTTCCTCCATTTTTGCTTCAGAACCCCTAAATTCCATGACTTTTCAAAAGGTATCATGCAACCATATGATCCTCTACTCTTCCTGATACTTTAAATTCTGCCTTAAACTATTCCCTTATTGCATCACCTGGTCTGAACCTTCAAGTTCAGATACTAGCTCCTCTCACATGCCCTTACTCATGTGACAGATGTCCACTGAACACTTACTATGTGCCAGACACTGAGCTAGGAGCTAAAGAATCAATGGTGGATGACATATAGTCCCTGTTCTCAAGAAAGTTATAGTCCACATACTGATCTCCAATTCTACCAGGTGGGTTGGGTGCCCTGCTCTGTGCTCTAGTCATAGACACTGTTGATTGCCTATGCAGCAACCACATCCACCTTCTTTTTCCCTTGTATGAGACCATGGGAATCTACCCCATTCCCAGCTTTAGAAGTAGATATTGATATATCTGATCCAAGCATAGTGATTCCATGCTTCTTGGCTAGTGTCCAGTTGAGGATCCCAGGTGTTGTGGTTTGAATATTTATTCCCTCCAAAACTCATGTTAACATTTAATTGTCATTGTAACAATATTAAGAGGTAGAGTTTTCAAGAGAGGATTAGGTCATAAAGATTCCACCTTCATGGGTGGAATTGTGCTGTTATAAAAGGGTGAGTTCAGCCCCCTCTTGCTCTTTCTTGCCCCTCTGCCTTTGCTGTGGGATGATGTAGCAAGAAGGGCCTCCCCAGATGCCCATTCCTCGATCTTGGATTTCTCTGTCCAGTGGAACTGTGAAAAAATAGATTTATGTTCATTATAAATTTCCCAGTCTCTAGTATTTTGTGATAGCAGCAAAAAAAAAAAAAAAAAAGAAGAAGAAGAAGAAGAAACCAGGCTTAAGCCAATCAGTGCTTGAGTCTTTTTCCTGGGGAGGGAAAGTGACCTGAGTTGGTCCTCTCAGAAGGAAAGAAAGAATTTATCATTCCCATTTTGAGGAGAGATGTTTCTTCTTTCCCCCAAGCTTGAACAAGGAAGCATATTGAACAGTTGCTGCAGGCAGCAATCTGGTGACCACATGAGGAATATCAGGCTGAAGACAAAGCTTACAGATAAGAGCAGAGCCAAAAGATCTAGTGGTAACAGGGGATGGGTGGAACCAGAGCCACAGCCTAGGAACAACTCCATCCTGGACTTAATATGTGAACTAAAGAAGTGTCCTGTTTTAAAGCCAGTTTAAGCAGCTTTTAATTTAGTTCTTAATGAGAGTCAATATGCACCATCCACTGGAAGTTCCCATGTGAAACTCAAGAATCCACACTCTCTCCCATTCTCGCTTTTCCTGGCATTAGTTCAAGTCCACTTTGTCGCTCAATTGTATGACTTTAATATCTCCTTGTTCAGATTCCTTTGCCTCAGATTCACCTCTTCTTTCAATTTATTCTCCATATCATTTCCAGCATGATATTTCTACATCTGCACTCTGATCATGTCCTTCCCCACTTAAAATCATTGATGACTATTTGTAGACTTCAAGATAAAGTTCAAACTCCTTGCCATTTATTCTGAAGACATTTCGTGTCTGCCCCCAGCCAGGATCTTGACCTCTCTTTCTCTATTCCTTTTTGCCTTCCTCATACCCAAATGTCACATAGTTGCTGGGACGTGTGACTCTCCCATTGCATTCATGTATGCTGTTCCCTGTACCTGGAACTACTGTCCACTACCACTTACCTCACCCACCTATAATCCTCCAGAACCTTCAGCTCTACTTTAGAAGTCTCTGCACGGTGTTCCTGTGCTTTATAGCATTTTGACTATTTCTCTGCCATCACATTTATCTCACTGTGTTGCAACTGTTTGTTTATTGGCCTTTCCAACTAAACTCTAAACTTCTTGAGAGCAGGGACTAGGTGGTATTTACACACATATCCACATATCCTCAGCACATACCACAATATCTCTGACTGAGACCCTCTTAAAATCTTTTTACAAAGAGAAGGAATGGAAAGAGAAGAGAAGAGAATAGGAAGGGAACAGGAAGGGAGGGAAGAGGAGGGGAGAGGGAAGGAGAAAGGAGAGGAGAAGACAAGACAAGAGACGGAAAAAAAAAAAAAAAAGGAAGAAAGCCAGTTCTTTCTTCTTGGGAAAAAAGAAGGCCAAAGGAGTCCAAAAAATAGTCACAGATTTTACTCTGAACAGGCCAAATAACTAACTGTCCTGTCTAGATACAGAGTCTGAGTTTTAATGCATTTTCTTGCTAGAAAATTCAAAGTATATAAAAGGATGTACACTCAAAGGACCTCCGCTTCAAATTTTCCCTGCCGTTGGTGCTTCATGCCCATGGGATGTGTATTAAAGAGGCTACCTCACTCAGTAATTGTAGAGAATAGAAGGAAAACAAATAGTTGTTGATACAGGTAATGTTCATGTTTCCCCATTGTAGCAGCATATGGCACTAGTTGTAATGGCCTAACGTAAAGCATTCCTGAACAATATTAATGACCAACTAGGTTAATGACCAAAGACTCAGCCTCAGGCCCCAAACATAGTCTCCTGTTCATTAATCCCTAGGAAATGACCTCAGCCATGTTCATTATGGCTCAATTACATTCACACTCCCTCATGAGAAAAGAAAGCATTGCAGTCCTGATACCAAGCTATATCCCCCCCCACCTTTTTTTTTTTACCTTGACACATGGGCAATAAAGACACAAAACAAGTTATTAGTCCCAAGGCCAAGCATGTAAAGGAAAAAAACATTATTGCCTTTTCAGCTCCCAATCATCAATAAGAACTGAATTTGGGACCTCAGAGGTCACAGAGCAGGCTGACCAGGATTTACACATCCTCTGAGTGTTCTTTGAAGGTGTGACATGCACTAAGCACATGTTAGCCCCAGATGTTCAGAGTTTGGATGAAAATCGGAAAACTCAAAAGGCAGCTCTTTGCTAGTATGCAAAAAAAAAAAAAAAAATGACTCCTTCAGATATCAACCTATCACTCATTCAATCAATATTTATACAATGTTTCCTCTGAGTAAAGTCCCATAGACAGTTTGTGAGTAATTCAGAAAAGAGCATCAAGGAACATAGAATCAAGTTACATAGAATGAACATACCCTGTGGTGGCTTGAAACATGTCCTGAACCACATCGACATGTCCTTCATCAAGAGGCAGTCTATATCCTCTCACCTTGGATCTAGCCTTAATGACTTGTTTGTAACCAAGGAAATGCAACAGGAGCAAGTCTGCATGACTTCTGAGGCTAGGTTATGAGCGATCATATGGCTCTGCCTGGCTAGCTCAGATACTCAGTTTTGGAGCCTGGGTCACTCTGCAAATCCACCTACCTTGAAGCAGCCATATTTTGAGGTGGCCCACATCATGTGGGGAGACTCTAACGTTATGGTTCACAGAACCAGCTGTGGTCTAGCTAACAATAGCATCTACCCATACATATGAGTGAAGACTTATCTCCAGAAGATTCCAAGACCAGTTGTTGAATCACCCCAGCCATCAGCTCTTCCCAGCTGAAGCTCCAGTGTGGAACAGAGACAAGCCATTCCCACTGTACTCTGTTGGAACTCCTGACCCATAACATTTATGAGTGTAACAAAATACTGAATTTTGTACAAAAATTACAAAGTGTGGGATAGTTTGTTTTACAGCAGTAGTAACTGAATATCTCTCTCTCCTCTCTCTCTCTCTCTCTCACACACACACACACACACATGATAAATACATACAGCCACCTTGTGAGGTTTAGTAATAGTTTGCATGCATATGTTCCTAGTTCGGCCATGCCTACAGAAATCTTTGAGGAAGTGCCGTCATCTAATGGAACTGCATTTAACCTGCATCTATTAATAGCAAAAATCACCAAGACTTCTTCAATGGGGCCATGCGGCACATTCAATGTGAAGAAAATTAATTCCAAAGTCGAGGGAACATTGATTGGGTACAAACACTGTCTTGCATCACAAGGTGATTACACTCCATTAGAATGCACCTCTCTCAGGCTTGGCCTCCTGTTATTTCCTCTCTATAATCTCTTCAGGATTTCTGAGCTTCAGTGCCACTGCCAGATCTGCCTCCCATACCAAATCTAATCCAGGACCTAACCCAGCCTTTACCTCCAACTGCCCACCCTCCACCTCTACTGGCAAATCTCATTATTTCCTCAGCACCTTCACCTCTGTAGTCCTCAGTCAATAGAAAGCTATTCTTATTCAAATGGTATTTCCCACTCCAGAGTGGCTTGTATGTGTCATGGTCCCTGCACCTCCAGGAGTCACAGAGTTGTCCCAGCTGGCTCCTCCCTGTGCGTGTCCCCTGTCATCCATCTCCCATCCAATCCTGATGGCTCTCCCTTCAGAATGTTTCAGAATTCATTCCCCTTCCTCTTTTCTTACTGTCAGCTCCGTGCCACCTCTTTACCTCCCGCCCAAATTCATGCAATTGCCTCTAAACTGGCCCTCTCCCTCCAATGTCCCCAGCACACCCTGCCTTCCACCACTAGATTAAACACCCCACTTCCCATGCCTGCCCATTAAGTCAGTCCAATCCAAGAACCTGGAGAGGCTTCAGTGCCTGCAGCTCCAATCCAGATGCCCCCAAGAGCATTTGCAATGTCTTGCCTTATTCTTTAGCTAGCAGTCCATCTCTTCCATGACACAGACCCTTTAGCAAAATATCAATCCCTCCTTTCATACTCCCACATTTGCCCTCCCCAACCCCACCCTTGGCGGTTTAACATTTCCTCCTGAATTTCCTGATGATTTTGTTCCCTCCACTGGGAAGCTACTCCTTCCCTCTCTTCCCCAGCCAACATGATATACACTTTTCAAAATAGCTTAACGCCATTTTCTACAAACCATGTGGACTAGCGTTCTAGATCTCACACACCTGTCCCTGCCCCTGCCTCTGATTTCTTCAAATGCCTTGTTAGTAAATACCATACCTTCCATGTAGGGCCCTTTCTCAACATGCAGTGTGACCTAAGCATTTTCAGTACTTCTTATTTCTCTAATGAGATATAAGTTCCCAGGCAAGGGCCATGCACTATACTCACCAAAATTCCTCCCAAAGCCTGGTGTGTGCTAAGCTGCCAGGAAGCAGCCAATCAATACCTTCATTACCAAATATATCGAGAAGAGTGCATGAAGCTGGAGTCTGCTGAACTCCTTCCCACCCCGGGGCCATGGCCCAGGTTGGAATGCCCCATCCATGACTTTTCACCCTTGCCTGCTTCTTGCAGCTCACCCTTCAGTTCAAATGCAACCTCTTCTAAGAAGGCGTCCTCAGTCACTCCTCTAAAGCTGTCTTCCAAGCACTGTCTCCAAATAACCATTTTTAATTCTCTATAGGGCACTCATAGTTCTTCTATTTATTTTCAATGTGTTATTTTTATTTTTATTTTTGTCTTTTCCCAGGAGAGTGTAAGCTTGATGACAACAGAAAGACTTTCTGTCTGGTTCACCACTGTATCCCTCCTATTAAAACAGTGTCCAGAAGAGAGTATGTGATGGGTTAAATGAATGGATGAATGAATGAAACAAATGAATAAAGTATAGAGAAATACTCTATACTTATGAGGCACTCACAATCTATTAAGAAAAACAGATACAAAAGTCAAATATCATCTAGTGATAAGTAAAATTTTACATATATATGAATTATATATATGAATGAATATATATATAATTCATATATGTATATATGAAATAAAGGAGAAAGAGAGGAAGGTAGAATAGCACTCCAAAGAATAGAAAGTGTACATTCAGAAGTGCACAGGCTTAATCCTGCATATCATTTGTCAGGGAAGGAAATGTCCAACACTGTGAGAGTATGAATTTTGAGGGGTGGAGGAAGGGACCCTGGGACATGAGGCTGGGCAGGTAGGCAGAGACCAGATCTGTAAGTGAGTAATGTGGTATATTAAAAAGCTAGAGCCTTATCCTGTGTAAAATCAGGTACAACTGGAGAATTTTAGGCAGAGAAATTAGACCTTTATTTCATAACTAACACTCTAGAAAAAGTACAGAAGACAGGCAACAGTGATAAGAGACTAGAAACAGGAAGACCAGGTAAGAGGCCCTGCAGGTAGCCCAGGTGATATGGTTTGCATCTGTGTCCCTGCCCAAATCTCAAGTCTGAATTGGAATCCCCAGTTTTGGGGAAGGGGCCTGGTGGGAGGTGATTGTATCATGGGGGCGGACTTCTCCCTTGCTGTTCTTGTGACAGTGAGTGAGTTCTCATGAGAGCTGGTTGTTTCAAAGTGTGTAGCACTTCCCCCTTTGCTCCCTCTTCCTCCTGCTCCCACCATGCAAGATGTGCCTCCTTCCTCTTCGTCTTCCACCATGATTGTAAGTTTCCTGAGGCTTCTCCAGCCAGGCTTCCTATACAGCCTGCGAAACTGTGAGTCAATTAAACCTCTTTTCTTTATAAATTACCCATTCTCAGGTACTTCTTTATAGCAATGCAAGAATGAACTACTACACTAGGTATGAGAGAGTAGAGGCCTGGACTAAGGCAGGGGACGTGAGTACATAGGAGGGGCCAGATTCAAGAGAAACTGAGGCAGCAGAAGCAGCATGGCCCATGACTAGCTGAACCAGGTAGATGACAGAAAGCAAGGACTCCAAGGCTAATCCCAGGATAACAAGCACAAAGGCACCACCACCAACTAAGGTTGGGGAGAAGACCATAAATTCTACATTTGAGCTGGGCTGAGGTGTTCTGAGTTTCACATACCTGTGGAACAAGCAGGAGAATAAATCTGATAAAGCATTTGGACTTGCAGTTACTAGGAGCTTGGGGCAAGGCCTGAGTGAAAGACATGATTTGGGAGCCATTAGCGTACAGATGACAGGGAAAACCATGGGTGTGCATGATGTACTTGGAAAGATGAATTGGATCTACCATTCAGGAAATTGCTTCTTCAGGTCCAGACTGTGAGGCTAAGATTTCAATATCCAGGATTATAAAAAGCACTCATCACAATGCAACAGAAGTTGCAGGCCAGTGTTTCCTTGACATTGGAATTCACTCTCCCCACTTGATACGAACCACATGGTCTTGGTAGAGCATGTTTCCGGGACCTTTGATTACTACCAGGCTAAATACCGTATGTTCCATTAAGCTTCATATTCTGGCATAGAAGCCAATGAGAAACTGCTACTTGCACCAGTAATGTATGTTCTCCAAACCACTATTATACTTTGCAAAGCTGCTGTACAATTAATTTTTAGCAGAGATGCACTCATAGCTGCCCCATCATGTGTAAAATGCACGCATTTTGCCTTTGCCAGAGAGAACATATTGCAGCCCATATTTTAGTCATCTCCCTTCAAAGGGTAAGAAAATTTTGTGAGTTATTCAAGATAGGAATGCAAATTTAAATTTGCTCATAACTAGAATGGCTCACATGGCCACAGGAACATCTGTTTTTCTAAAAGCGTTAGCTGATTGTCCAGAGGTGGTCACTCATTGTCCAGAGACTGGGATGGAGAAAGACAGAACTGGGCAACTTGTTTCTTAGATGGATTTTGTCTCATGTAAGAGTTGCATGAGATGAATTCAGGTAGACAATCATTTCATATCTTTTTAAGACAAAGGAAGGGACTACTAGTATATACTGTGCTATTTGCTTTGGGCCAAAAATAGCACTACGAACTTTACATGCATATCTGGTTGAATTATCCCAAATCTTACATGGTAGCTATTATTATCTTATTTTACAGACGGTGAGATTTGTTCAAACTAGCATAAAATATTTAGGCAATTGTGCTTCTCCATTTATATTTATTTTGAGGAAAATTGAAGCCATGATTTGGGATTCACTGATGCTTTACCTCCCTGACTAGTTTTGCAGATTACCTATCATGGTATACAAGATGCACAGACAACTGTAATGGGTATCTATCCTTTTTGCCCTTCCTAGCATCCCCTTCTGATAAAATAGCATCCTCCCTCCTGATAATACAGCTCTTCCTTTTTTGGAACCTGCTTTTCCCACCCCATGTAATTCAGACAGAGTTATCAGCCAGTTGATTACTTCCTTCCTTCCTTTCAGTAGGTCTAGACACATTAGCCAGCCTGATTAGTCAGAAATCTCCATCTCTGTACCCAGTAATTGGCCCGCGAAGAGCCTGTTATTCAAGAGATCCAAAGACAGCTTGTAAGAGATGACCATGAAAGAGAGTCCTGCTCATTTACCTACATTCACTAACTCTAAGAACAAGTAACCCTAGAGCTGCTGGGAGAAGAATCTGCCAGAAAATGAAGTCCACACAAAGAAAAGCAGAGCCAAGACATGGCAGAGCCAGAGAAACAGGGTTCAGATGCCACCATGCAAAGTCCTTGATCCAGCTTCTCCTGGAGCTCTTTTATTCCTGAGACTCCCTGGTCACATCAGTCAGTAAGTTTCCCTTTCTGCCAATGCTAGCAGTTTGAGTTAGTCTCTGTCGATTAGACTAACAGAAACAGGTCCAGCAGAAAATGAAATAAAAATATATTTAGCAAAAAATCATCTGAGTTAGTTTTACAGTTATGGATTTCAAATTTCACCATTTGAAACAGATAAATTTGTACACTAAATAGTAACTAAAAATATTAATAGCAAGATCTCAAAGATACCCATTGGGAAATTTTACCTTGGGTGCAATAATTTAAGCTTAAGAAGGGTTTTTGCCACTGACTTGGAGGTAACAATGACATGACCATTTCTCAGGGACTTTTTGACAATTATCTTACTTATGAATAAACCAGAAAGATAGATGATACTAAATATTAGTTTCGCCCTTAGACCCAAATATCTAGGACCTCTCCCCTGGGCCCCATGCCTGGATGGCCCCATTCTGTATACAGTGGTTTAGGTGGCTTCACTGTATTACTATGTAATTATTATTCTCCAAATTTCCATAAAAGTTGTCAATATCACTTTTTTTCAAACATATGCATGAACCATCATGAAAACTTGAGTACTATCTTAATGCTATTTATTTATTTATTTATTTAGAGATGGAGTCCCGCTCTGTCACCCAAGCTGGAGTGCAGTGGCGTGCGCCGATCTCGGCTCACGGCAACCTCTGCCTCCTTGGTTCAAGTGATTCTCCTGCCTCAGCCTCCCAAGCAGGTGGGACTACAGGTGCACCCCACCACGCCTTGCTAATTTTTGTATTTTTAGTAGAGATGGGGTTTCACCATGTTGGCCAAGCTAGTCTCAAACACCTGACCTCAGGTGATCTGCCTGCCTCAGCTTCCCAAAGTGCTGGGATTACAGGCATGAGCCACCGCACCTGGCCTGTATCTAAATTTTATCGCAAATTATCTGAGTCATCTTGGGCAAGCCCTTTGACTTCTCTGGACCCCAACTTCACCATATAATAGGAAGATGTCCTGCCTAACCTGCCTGGAGTGTTGAGGACATCCGGTGGGACAACATCTGCAAACGCACTTTGAAAAACATAGAGATTATTAATGTAAGAGCAAGAGTCCTTAAGACAAAACTCAATTTTATTCTATGCTTTTTGACAGTTGGGATCTGCGGAAAAGCCATAGGCTTATTACAAATTCTGAATCTCTTTTCAGGATCTAATCTGAATCTATCAGATTAGACCTCTCACAGGTCAAATGTAGAGAAGGATTAGATTATAGTAATAGAACTAGGACCTTGATCACATCTCCAACTGGCCTTTCTGATCTTGCAACCCTTTGTCACCTACAGGAAATCTGCCCAAACCAGTCTACTCCCCGTCTCCCAAACAAGATCCAGACTTTGTTGTATTCAACCACTCCCCTCACCTCAAATCTGCTCTCTTAACTCATCCATCACTCAACATCTTGCTTGAACTTCAAGAACAAGTTCATCCACTCTGACAACCAGCGCCCCCTAGGGCTCACTTGGTGATGAGTTAGGCACTGTTTTGTTATAGTTCTTATGTGATTCTCTGAAGACGTCCTGTAAATTTCTCATTGTTACAGTTCCTGCGTATCTCCAACCTGTCTTGACAATTAGACTGTAAGTATGCTAAAGCCAGTCACTGCCTTGTACTCTTCTTGCACAAAGTAGATACTCAGCAAATATTTGTTGGTTAGTTAAAAAGGAAATTGTCCAAAGGAGGAAAATGGCTTAGAAAAGAATTTATAAAGAAATGAAATGAGGGAGATAAACTCATAGAACAGCAGGTTACCCATTGAAATCTATTAAACATAGACAAGGGAGCTGGTCTATTCAAAAGAAGCCCAGAAATCTGAAATCAAATATTTAGAATGGAAAGAAACTTCAGGATAATCCAATTGACATTCTTCATTCATTGTGGTTAATCACCCACTAACTTCTCTGACTTGTGAATTGAGTTTTTATACATTTAATTTTTTATGTTATAAAATATGACTCTCAGTAATTTCCTAGAAACAGAGTCTGAGAGAATAGAACCTTGAAAAAATGGCAGCTATTTCATCGATATAAAAAAATATTTTTTCTTGCTAGAGTCAAGCCAGACATCTTGAGCCAGACTTGTGGTATCCCTTTTTTATTTTACACTTCAATATGGAAAAGAACAGATGATTAACAGAAAGACAGGATTCCTCACCTGGAAACACAGAAAATGCTGACTGGTTCAGAGGGGAGCTAACTTCAGGAGCGAATCCAAAGTGTTAGAAGGTCCTAGAAGTCAAATTGTTGAGCTTTGATATGCTGTCAGAGAAAGCACTGGCTTGGGACTCAGAGGACCGAGATTTTGAGAACTTGCTTCATCAGTTTCACTTATGTGACCATTGACAGTTTCCCAAATTCTAATTATCAGATTTTTTTTGGTCTTAAAAATAGGGTCATGGATGGAATTAAATGAGATAATGTATTTAAAGACACTTCATTTATAGAAAAGCTTAATTTGCATTATTTATTATCCAGTTAATTTCCATTAAAAACTATTTTAATCTAGCTGTCCTGAAGGTGAGCCTTTATAATCTAAGAACCGAAATGGCATCATAACACCCTTGAAGCCCCTTGGTTATTCATCCTTATCCTGGCTCTAAAGATAAACTAATCCTCGGCTCTAGCATGTTCCAGCCCTTGCAGCTTTCCCTGAACTCACACGCCCTCAACAAATGACACGTAGCCAAGAGCTTCCCGCTCTACAATTAGTCACATCAATCTGAAGCCTCCTCACGGGTTGGTGAACACAGCAGTATCTTCTTTCGCTGCCTGAGATTCTTGCAAAGATGGGAGAGGCAGCTTTTCAACAGCCTAAAAGGCCATCTCCACCACCAGAATGTGTCTTCTCTCCAAGTCCCCCCTTCCGTGGTCATATGAGTGGCTCTGTCCTGTGTGGAGAGGCATCACTGCCCTCTGTGAGCTGTCCGTTGAAAGAATCAGTGAGGTCCTCCCACCTCAAGATGGTCCAGGCATGCTTACCACCTGGGACCCCTCCCAGCTGACCGCAACCCAGCCCTAGCTTGAAAAGGCCTCTGAGACACTGTTCAAAAGTCATTGGCTTTTGTCCAATGGACCAACTTAGGTTCCTGTGGGGTAGACTCCTGATGGCAGAGTATGAATGAACACTAATGATCATCCGTGTCAGCTAATAATATGAAACATATCTGCCCTAGCATAAAAGCCAGAGTGGGAACACACTCCACCATTTTCATAGCAATACTGCTCATGTGCAAGGTTGGAAATAGAGACATAACGCTAAATAAAGCCCTCGAATTGGCTATCCTGGAACTTCATCTGTACACTGTTTCTTAGAGATCTTAAATTGTGTTTAACAGAATGGAAGGGAACCTAGACATCAGAGAGCACTCTCAGTTAGCAAATGGCATCACCAAGGCAGAGAAAGGAAGGGACATTCCCAGGATCACTCAATGAGTGGCAAGGCTAGAATGGAGCACAGGGCTGTCCAACCCTCCAGACTCTGTGGCCGCTTCTGTAACCAATTAAACATGCTCTGCCCTGAAGCATTTAGCATCTAAGCTGAATGTAACCTCTGGGTGTCTCCTTATCCAAAAGCAAGGGGTGTGGCCAGATCATCTCCCCACCTACCCCTTAGCCCCGATGACTCCATAGCACAAAATCAGAACTGCAATCCACCAACCTGGTATCAGCCTCCCACAGACTGTGTGTTTATGAGCTCTGGCTCTTGCTGTTATGCCAGGCTACTTTCCTCAGTGAGCAGACACGCGATAAATACTGACAACTGATTGGCTGATGAATGAGCTCATAAATAATAATGTTTACAGCTTCCTTCCTGAACTCACAGCCAAAGCAACTCCGCTAAATGGCCTCTTTTCCTCCTTTCTTTCCTCCTCGGCTTGCTTATAAATTTTAAGATGCATCATGCAAGATGTCAGGGAAGCAATTACTTTGGGGTTTACCCTTAAAAAGGAAAAAAAATAGCACCAAAGTCCATAGGGGAAAATTTCCCTGAACTAAACATGAACCAGAAAATGTATACAGACTTTGATTACACATGGTACTCCAGGGTTCTTTAATCAAACGGTCCATCAGGGTGTCAAGAGCTCTTTCCCCTGGTTTCCAAGAGAGGAGAACACGATCCTTTTTTCCGGGCAGGAGGAGAGTGCCAGGGACAGATCTAAGGGCAGAGGCCACTGACAAATGGAAGGTGAAGTCTGAGATGTAGACACTACCAGGACAGCAGCCATAATATGTGGAAGACCCAGGACCAGAAGAGCCTGTGTGTGTGTGTGGGTGGGGGGGGGGGGTGTATAACAGCAGAAATGGATGCTATTCATTTAATTTGGATACCAAGGATTCATGCTTAGGGGCTTGGAATAAAGCAGATACACATCTTTCTTCTAAGTATAGAAGAAAGGTCCAAGTAGGAGGCTGAGACAAGCGGGTCTAACTCTCCCTAAAGATATTTTTCAAGAAAACTTTTCTCCTCTATATTAACACGATGCAGGATTTATTTCTGTTAGTGTACTAGATAATATAATATACATATGCATGTGTGTGTGTGTGTGTGTGTGTGTGTGTGTGTGCATATGTGTGCCTGTATTTCAGAGCATATAACCCAGGCTCCCAGGTTCCCAGAAGTCTCCTAGACCCCATAGATAATGCATTTTAGTGCCAGCCATCATCACGAATACTCAGTGATGGAATGAAAATTCCTATCCAGTTTATTTGACCACAGGTAGACGATGGAGGATAAAGTATCATCAGACGATAGAATTAGTAAGGGAAAGAAGTCAGGTAATGGGTAATTTCTCTGGAAACTGACAATTTCATTTCTTCTAGTCCTACTCCCCCAGTGAAATGAGAAGTCAGCAGAGGCCCATGAGATAGATTTCAGGCAATTCAACTAAATCTGTGGACCCAGTGGAATTTTGAGCAACGAAGAACCAAGATATCTGTTCCTTTTAACATGACCTGGCTTGCCACCCAGGGGGCAGGCTTCCCACTGACGGCTCTTCCAAGTCACCTCCATAAACTCATCAGGCCTTGCAAAGTTGCATTTCCCCTCCTCATTCCGAAGACACAAATCAATATACACAGAAGCACTTATGCTTGGTTCATAAAATCTCCTGTGTAAATGCTGGAAACATTTCCATGCCAAGCCTGATGCAGGCTACTTCCGACAACAGCCAGTATTACCGTGGTGTGTGGGAACCCTGGGAAAGGAGAGAGATGCAAAACCATGGCAAAAGCCACTGCTGAACCTAGTGTCAAGCCAAAAGCCAATTGGGTTGGAACAAGACAGTGCCCATGTCCTTGTGTGCTTTAATATGGTAAGAGCTAGGGCTTTCTTAATATGGTGAAAATTCCAGAGGGGCATAAGGTGAGTCAGCTGCTCACACACAGATAAATGCCTGGACAAGTCCTGCCAAGGTTGGCCATCAATGGTAGATAGGAAACAAGCTGCTCCCAACTCAGTAGCCCAAGCATCACTGAAGCCACAGTGAACCTCCTCCACCACCTCTACAGGAAAGTATGAGCAGATATATGGGCGCCTAGAAAGAAGACCCCATTCTGTCACCCCATGGGCAACAGATTCCACAGTTGCCCTGAGAAGATATCCAAAAACAAACACAATCAGCTCAATTTAGATGCAAAAGACAAGGGGGAAAGGATGCTGGGAGCTGGAGGAGGCATCCTAGCAATCTATTTCGAGGGGCTCTTAGCACCTGTTTGCAAGCACAGCTCTCAAAATAGCATTCAGCAACAAGTTTCTGAAATGGCAAATCTACAGCTTCTTTTCCCTGCAAGTGCTTTGTCATGCTGATACTCTGACCCAAGAAAGCATTTCCAAAGAGCCTGCGGGATAAAGCGGAGCAATGTTGAACATGTCTGCAGCCACTGCAGCGGCAGCAGCAGCCCACGGTGCAGGGGAGGCTGGAGTGGACGCTGCCCGGGCCCCACCTCCTGTCTGAACACTCACCATCAGCAGGCCGAGAGCTGAGTCGGGCACCAGCTGCACTGCCATGGTCTCCGATTCCCATGCACGAATCCTGCTGCCGAGTCAGTCCTCCTGGGCCCCGGGTGGCTACAGAGCATCCAAAAGCACCTGCAGAAAAAGCAGCCAAAATCCAGACTTAGGGAGCAAAAGGCTCAAGGGGAAGATAGGCCACCTTTCACACAGGGTGGGGAGGAGGTCAGGGAAGACAGGGTGGGAACTGTGCTTAGGGAGGAAAAAAAAAAAAAGAAGAAGGAAAATAGGAAGCTGCAGGTTATTTAAAAGTGAGCCCTCCCTAGCTTCGCAAAGCGGCACAGACAGGGAGACCGCATCAAACACAAACGTGAAAGCTTAGAACACGGAATGTTTAACTGCTACCTTCGCCCTGGCAGCAATTCTTCCTTTAACTGACAATTAAAATAAAACATTCCCTATTGCAGATAAATCAAGCAGCCCGAGCCACCCCCTCTCTCTGCATCTCTCAGCAATTCTGCTGCATAAACATGCTGAATGTCACAACATACCGCTCGCAATCTGGTCAGTGTCTTCTTTGCTGCAGATAGGTGTGTCCCTTTTTGCAAAATCAGATATCTGGGAGTGAGACAGCCGAGTCTGACCATGAGGCACCAGGCAGTCACTGGAGATCAGCAAATGCCCTTACCATCCCCGAGGAGGAAGTCACTTAGGAACTGACCCTTCCACCTTCCCCAGATCTACTTTTCCTCTCCAAGTAGACTGGCCAGCTCAGCTCCCGGTAGGGCTAACATACTTAAGAGGAACATGGAATTGCACTGCCTGTTCTGTGAGCGTTCTGATCTCCCTGGCTGTACCACATGTACGCCGCATACAGACACACTCTACCTCTCTCTCCCTCCCTTCCTCCCGCCCTTCCTCCCTCCCATCCCTTCCCTCCCATCTCTCCACAGGGCTGCCTGTTAGGAATTTTGAAGGAGCCTCCCTAGTTCAGGGAGGCATAGGAGGTGAATTTGTCACAAGGGACACTGCTTAACAGGAAAAGGCAAGTTAGCCTTGAAAATCATATCATGCAGCATTTTCCCCGGAAGATGTCAATGAAGGGAGAAAGAAAAAACCTGCCGAATCTTGTTATATAATGGGTAGCTCAAAGGGCTTTCCAGAGTCAAAGACTTAAGAAAATTAGATATCTTTTCATGAGCACTGTCAAGCTTGTATCTTCTTCTGGAGTCCATGTATTCAACTAAAAATGGTTATTCCTGATACTTCTAGTATGTCCTTTTCTGATTTCTTCCTTTACTCACCTCCTGTAATGGCTCCAAAAAATCCTGAAAATTAACTAGACAGTGTGAAATGTAGAAACATAGAGAACAGTTTTCGAAATAAGAAACTAGGGGGAAGAAATTAATGACCTTTCATGTTCCTGTGCACGAGCATAGCTACTGTTCCTTTATTACTTATACTTTTAAAACTATTGATTTGGGCCAGGTATGGGAGCTCACACCTGCATTCCCAGCACTTCTGGGGGTTGAGGCAGGAAGATAGCTTGAGACCCAAAATTCAGGGTGAGCCTAGGCAACATAGCAAGACTTCATCTCTACAAAAAAAAAAAAAAAAAAGAAAAATAGAAATAAAAGAATTAGCCAAGCATGGTAGTGTGTGCCTAGAGTCTCAGCTACTTGGGAGGCTGAGGTGGGAGGATCAGTTCAGTCCAGGAGTTTAAGGCTGAAGGGAGCTATGACTGCACTCCTGCAATCCAGCCTGGGGGACAGAGCAAGACTCTGTCTCTAAAAAAATTTAAAAATAAAAAGTATTTGCTCATCACAGTGCTTAGCACAGAGTAAGTACTAAAATATATTCAATAAATGAGTGAAGGCTGGGTGCAATGGCTCACGCCTGTAGCCCCAGTACTTTGGGAGGCTGACGTGGGCAGATCACCTATGGTCAAGAGTTCAAGACCAGCCTGGTCAAGAGTTCAAGACCAGCCTGGTCAACATGGCAAAACCCTGTTCTATGAAAAACACAAAAATTAGCCGGGTGCGGTGGGCACCCGTGTTCCTAGATACTTGGGATACTGAGACAGGAGAATCGTTTGAACCTGGGAGGTAGAGGTTGCACTGTGGTGAGATCGCACCACTGCACTCCAGCCTGGGCAACAGAGCAAGGCTCTGTCTCAAAATAAAAAAAAAAAGAAAAGAAAAGAATAAAACAAAATAAAATAAGTGAGTGAAAAATTTTCTCCCATTTTGTTTTTCCTATAGTGGCCCAATGAGCTTGAACCTTGATTCCACAGTGTGTGGATGGAGTCTCATGTTACTGATCCCCGGAACACCAGAGCAACCCTCCTTGCCAGCAGGTGCCTGGAGATTCAAAGCATGACTTGAGTCGCATGCATGTGGCCTTGCACAGAACTGTCAGGACATTCTGACTGTGCTGGTGGATTGCAATACTATTCAAAATAATATGTATAGTCACATTTGAAAAATAATAACAATGATTTAAGGAACAGGTCTATAATAGTGATTTAAGGGACCTTATCCTAACTTTTCAGATGGATTTCTAAATGTATTCAACTGATATTTGCAGAATGCCGACTTTGTACCTCTGCCCTCAAGGAACTTTTTATCTGGTAGAATCATTAATGATACAAGATAATATGTAAGAAATGCAAAAAAAAAAATCCCAAATAGTTTGGATAGCACAGAGTAGGGAGGGCTTACCATTTCTTTTTTTTGTAGCTTTTGCACTGGAACTTCAGGAACAGCAGAACATCTTTTTCAGGACATTTGCTTTCTGATTCTACATGGACTATGTGTTTGGAAAATAACCAAAGCTAAGAAAAAACGTTAATATTGGAGCTATTGCAACTGGTGGATATGGGCAGAGAAAAGACAAACCCTGAGGAGAGACAGGCAGGAGCAGCCTCAGGTATGGGACAGTCTGGGACATCCTTAGGTTGCAGAGGCCGGCCTGAGAGATTTTGTGTCAGCCCTTGACGTTGGCCCCCAGAACACCCGCCTTCCTCTCTCAGCACTTCACTCATGGCTCCTTTGCCTGGAAAGCCTCATCCCCTGTCTGCTTGAATTGCAGCCCAGATTTTCTGGAAAATAGCCTGCAGCAAATCTTCTGCAAGAAGACATCATTGGGAGGTGCAATTTCAGGGTGGCAAGAGTGGGGGTGTGGGGAAGGTGAGGCAGGGATGGAATGAGAGCAGGTACAAGGTGGGGTTGACCAAAGTGGGCATAGGACAGCTACTCAGTCCTGAGGAAGAGCTTCCAGACAGGTATGGAACTTCCAGTTTTTGGCATAACCCATCAAGGAGACGAAGGGAGAGGGAGCTAACAGCCTAGTGCTGTCCATTAGTTGACTCTTTTTGGTCAAATTGATTCCATCAGACATTAACCCTCTTGCGCTTCAGGGTTATGTTACCAACTCCCGCAGGTAGGCATGAAAGGCATTGCATCTGAGCCCAGAAGATAAGGAAGAAACCATAGCCTCTGTGAGTCAGTCAGACAGGACCTGGGCCCTGGGGTGGTGAGGCTCCTGCCTCAGTGTGTGGGATGGAAACCCTCCCTGTTCTGTCCTGGGAGGCTAGGACAGCTAGCAGTGCCAGGAATTGAAATGACAATGGCAGCACCTGGGATTCCCAATGAGCAAGTGGCTCAATTTGCCCAGGGAAGACAGGAGGAGCCAAGTAAATCTGGGAAACACATACACTGAGTCTGGTAACAGCATATACGTTCACACAACATTCAGTGTCAAAAGTTGCATACTTCATGAAATTCTTCCCAATTCCTCTATTTGGGCATTCATAGTTGCTTTGTTTGTACAACTTTTAAATTCCTTCTTTAAAAAAATTGGCAGTGATTTGCTTTTCTCTAGTATCCCCCTACTAGAGAGGAACAAACTAATTTCGGAACTGAGCATTGCTCTTCTCTGTTTACTTCTACAGCTCCAAGCATCGAGCTCAAACAGCAGCCCATGCTCAATAAGATTAAATCAGGCACCAATGGAGATATCAAAATGTAAAGCGCAAAGAGGAAGAGGCAATGGCAAGACCTCAGGGAGTGGATAGGACATGGGGAGTTTGTGAGGACAGGTCACAGGCTGATGGAGAAGGAGTTGTCAAAGGAGGAAAAGGAGAAGAGAGCTCCCAAATTCGAGTGGCAATGGTCATTCCACAAAGATGCCTGGGTGGGGTGGAAGGGTGTTTCAGTACAGTTTCGGACACAGAAATCGAACTGCAAGGGGTTATCGAGCAGCTTGTGAGGAAGAGAAGTTAATTCATATTAAATAGGCCCTCATCAAAAAGCAGTGGAATATGAGCTATCCAGGTCCTTTCAAGAACTAGTTCAAGGTCACAGAAGGAAGAAGGTGTGGGGACAGCAATCCCATCCTCTGAGTCACTAAACTCGATTCTTGGTTAATCTTACCTCCCAAGAAAGCTATATATATATGAAATCCATTTCAATGTATCCTCCTTTAAAAACTCCTCAAATGAAGCATAGTTCAATGTCACACCCATCGCAAAAAACAGCTCTTCATAAACCTCTTCTGGGCCAGGTGCAGTGGCTCATGCCTGTGATCCCAGCACTTTGGGCGGCTGAGGTGGGTGGATCACCTGAGGTCAGGAGTTTGAAACCAGCCTAGCCAACATGGCGAAACCCCTTCCCTACCAAAAATACAAAAATTAGCTGGGCATGGTAGCACGTGCCTGGAGTCCCACCTACTTGGGAAGCTGAGGCAGGAGAATCCTTTGGAGGAAGGTGGGAGGTGGAGGTTGCAGTGAGCCAAGTTTGCACCAATGCACTCCAGCCTGGGACACAGAGTGAGACTGTATCTCAAAACAAACAAACAAATACTCTTCTGTATTTAGCGTGAAGCTGTTGTTCAGACATTGGCCATGAGACCACCCACTGCCATCTATATAAGTTGCCCCAGGTGAGAAATTCCTCTCAGAATCTAGTACAAAGGAAAATGTCATTATCCTGAAAGAGCCTGTGGTGTGGGTGGCTTTGGCCCCAGAACACCTGCCAGGCCATTTTACTCTCAGGAATCTGAAGGCTTATTCTGTCATTTTCTCTAGGATCCCGAGCAAGAATTACAAGGGTGAGGTGAGACTCAAAGAAAGTATTATTTATTAGAGATTTTCTTAAGTTGCACATAGTAGACATTCAATAACTGTGAGTTCTCTTTTGGTCCCCTTTTAATTCTGATAATGAGAATAGTGTACCTAATCACACTTGGCACACTGGACTTCCAGAATGCCCAAAATCTAATTTTACTTTCAATGACAGCAGATACTATCATAACTGGCATTATTACTTCCTTCTTTTCTTTCAATCTTATTTTTCCTTCTAATGCATACTCTATTACTCTTATTGAGTAGGCCTTTTTGTCAGTAAGCCATCTGAAATTCATTTTTAGTAAGAGATGGGACATAAATCACTCATTAATGTATACACTGTGCTCAAGTAGATTTGGCACACTGTGAAATATTTTGCAGCTATTAAAATGGCAATTATGAAACTATTTAGAAGTATTGCAAATGTCTGAGATATGTTTATTTGCAAGTAATATGAGACATATTCTCTAATTGCAACCATGTAAATATTTGTATTTTAAGAATATGTGAAGAACTCCTGCTTCTATCCAAGATGGAATTAGAGGGAGCAAGTCTACACTTCACATGAAACAAACAAAAAATGTAAAATATACGGAACAATACTTTTCAAGTTAATGGACATAAGACAACAAATGCCAGTGATCCATGAAAGATAAGAAACAAATTAGAGAAGCCTTACAATTGTCCCAGGTTATTGAATCAAGAGTATTTCCAGGCTACGGAACCGAGAGTGGAGCTACGTGGAATCAAGTGTTCTCCAGAGTCATGGAGACAGAGCTGAGAGTCAGGAAAGATTGGGATGAACACAGTTCACAAGACAGAGCACCAAAGAGAAGACAGGTGTAAAGAGAAAGAGAACTTCTGAGATCTTCAAAGAGTCCCCATGAGCACTCAGTTGAGTGCTGATCACCACATACATGTGGGGAAGCCACTCAAGGCTGGGGAAAGAACCACATAAAAAGATTGGAAAGAATGGTGACCAGTGCTCACCCAGGGCCAGAACAGTGTCTGCTCACATCCGCCAGACTGGAGAACTTCATAATTCCTAATACATTATTAGAACACTCAGATGGCTCTTGCCTCAACAGTGAGAAATAATTGGTCATAGATTGATCACTGTCCTGAATCTGCCTAACCATTCTGAAAAGTAAGACCCAAAAGGATTAAACTATTTCCACGTAACTTAACTGGATTCCAAACAAACTTAAAGAACATTTATAAAATTACAAAAATATCCAACTCTCAATGAGGTTAAATCTATAATGTAAATTTACATTGTGTATAATTTACATGTAGATTTATAAACTAGAATGTCATCTGATAAAAATTACCATGTACGAAGAAAGTAGGAAGATATGGTCACTAAATAGAAAACAAATCAATCAAAATCATCCAGAATGAACATAGATGTTAGAGTCAGCAGAAAATATTAAAACAATTATTATTGTTTAAATAACATTAATTATTAAAACAATTTTGAATATATTGTATTCAATATATTCAAAAAGTTAATTAGAAACATGGAAAATATTTAAAAATTCGAAGAACAAAATAAGCATCAGTCAGCTATAGGACATCTTCAAGTAGCCTGATAGATATATCATTTGTATCCTTGAAAAAAGAGACACACAGAAAATTGAGTTGAAGAAATAATAGCCAACATGTTCACAGATTATATGCTGAACAAATTCTAAGCATTAGAAACATGAAGAAAACTACACCAAGGCACTTCATAATCAAATTGCTCAATATCAGTGATAAAGAGAATATTTTGGAAGCAACCAGAGAGGAAAAACATATATCACGTACACAGGGACAAAGATAAGGGTAACAGTAGATTTCTTTTTTGGAAACAATGCAAAGAAGAATCCAGTAGAGCAGCGTTCTTCTAAAAATTTAAAGAAAAATTATCAGTATAAATTTCTATACCTACAAAACTATCTTTCAAAAATGAAAGCCAAATAAAGATTATTTTAGACCCACAAAGTAAATAAAAGGCAAACCAATTTGAAAAGAAGTAAAAATTCTCACAAAGAAAACCCCAGGCCCGGATAGATTTACTGGTGGATCCTAGCAAAGATTTAAGGAAGATTATACCAAATTTACATACATTCTTTGGGAACACTGAAGAGGAGTCAATACTTACGAACTCATTTTTGTGACACCAATACTACCCTGTTATCAAAATCAAAGACAATAAAAGAAAAGAAAGCAACAGATCCTTGTCCCTCATAAGCAAGAATGCAAAAATTTTAAACAAAATGACACCACATAGAATCCAACAGTATATTAAAAAGATAATGCACTGTGGCCAACCAGTCCATATTCCAGGATTGCAAGGTTAGTTTATTATTCTAAAAGCAGTCAGTGTAATTTACTATATTAACTAACTAAAAAAGAAAAACCATGTGATTAGCTGAATGGATGAATAAAAAGCATTTGATAAAATGCAACATCTATTCCTGATCTTTTTTAAAAAAATTCAGCAAACATGGAGTAGAAGGGAACTTCCTTAATCTGATAAGCATGTACAAAAATGTATAGCTGTCTGCATAATTAATGCAAAAGATTGAATGTTTTTCCCCTAAAATCAGAAACAAGGCAAGGGTGACCATTCTCAGCACCTTTCCTCAACATTACACTGGAAATTCTAGACATTGCAGTAAGCCAAGAAATGAAGATAAAAGCTATCCAGATTGAAAAAGAAAGTAAAACTGTCTATAGTCATAGCCAATATGATCTTTCATATAAAAAACCCGATGGAATCTATTAAATGCTAATAAGCAAGTTTGGCAAAGTTGAAGGATGCAAGGTCAATTCAAAAATCTATTGTGTTTTTATATAGCAACAACAAATAAAAGGAAATGTAAATTTAAAACACACTTCACAGAAACTTGTACACGAACATTTGTGTCAGCTTTATTTGTCATAGTGAAAACTTGGAAACAACCCAAACATCCATCAATGAGTAAATATATAAACAAATTGTATATATGTATAATGAAATCTTATTCAGCAATGAAAGGGAATGAAGTACTAGTATGCTACAATACAGATGAACTCAAAAAATATTACGTAAATGAAAAAACTAGATGCAAAAGACCACACTTCGCTTATGAAATTTACATGAAATATATATTTAAAAAACCCACACCCATGGAGATAGGTGATTGTTACCTGAATCCACAAGGGGAAGCAGGGAGTGGCTGCAACTGGCCACAAAAGGTCTTTAAAAGTGTTCTAAAATCGCACTGTGGTGACGGTTGCAGAGCTCTGGAAATTTACTGGAACTGAACGGTATGCATTTGCAATAGGTGAATTTTATGATGTGTAAATCATACCTTTAAAAAGCTGGAGTTTTTAATAAAAATGAATGAGTTATTAATACAGTCAACAATGTGGATGAATCTCAAAATAATTATACTGAGTGAAAGAAGTCAGACAAAAAAAGAATTCATAATCTATGGTTCCACTTATGTAAAATTCTAGATAACTCACACTAATACATAGTGACAAAAAGCAGATCAGATGCCTGGGGAGCAGGAACAGCATAAGAGAAACAGGGTAGGAGGGGGCAGAGGGGAGAAATTACAAAGGGGAAACTTTGAGGCAGTGGATATATTCACTATCTTCATTATGGTGATGGTTTCACGGCTATATACATGTGTCAAAACCCATTTAAATACGTGCAGATGACTGTATGCCTACTCTACCTCAGTATAGTGGCTCTTTAAGGGACATGAACGGTAGGATAACTGCAAAAAAAATACAATTAGTTGTTACAACGCTGCGAGTAAGAGTGATTTTCTTCCTTCCTTCCTTTCTTTCTTTCTTTCTTTCTTTTTTTTTTTTTTTTTTTTTTTTTTGATGGAGTCTCGCCGTATCGCCCAGGCTGGAGTGCAGTGGCGCAATCTTGGCTTACTGCAACCTCCACCTCCCGGGTTCAAGCGATTCTCCTGCCTCAGCCTCCTGAGTAGCTGGGATCACAGGCATGTGACACCATGCCCGGCTAATTTTTATATTTTTAATAGAGACGGGGTTTTGCCATGTTGGCCAGGCTGGTCACAAACTCCATACCTCAGGTGATCTGCCCACCTCAGCCTCCCAAAGTGCTGGGATTACAGGAGTGAGCCACTGCGCCCGACCAAGAAAGATATTCTCATTTCAAATTGTTTAACTTGTCGTTACATTTTCACTAATTAAAATAACAATGTTTTTAGAAATAGCTTATTTTTCAAATAAGAAGGAAGGCTTGGAAAACCAGCAGAGTCAAGGGAAGATGCTGTTGTCGTTGGTACTGCTGCTAAGGGCAGAAGAGCCCTGGGTGTGTTTTAAGACACACCACCAGAAGCCCGTAAGATGAAAAGAAAAGGCTTCTGTAAGGAGAATTCTGAAGGAGAACAGAACCCCCAGCGGAGGAATTATTTTCCCTAGGGAAGCGTTTTGTCTCTTCCCATGAGATGAAAAGAAAAAAAAAAAGGTAAAAATGCAAGAACTGTTGATAAATGTGAAAGGGTGTAAAGAGAGATTTTTTTTTGAGACCGAGTCTCTCACTGTCGCCCAGGCTGCAGTGTAGTGGCACGATCTTGGTTCACTGCATCCTCCGCCTTCCGGTTCACTGCATCCTCCGCCTCCCGGTTCAAGCGATTTTCCTGCCTCAGCCTCTCCAGTAGCTGGGATTACAGGCGCCTGCCACCACGCCCAGCTAATTGTTTGTATTTTTAGTAGAGATGGGGTTTCACTATGTTGGTCAGGCTGGTCTCGAACTCCTGACCTCGTGATGCGCTCGCCTCGGCCTCCCAAAGTGCTGGGATTACAGGCGTGAGCCACCACGCCTGGCCCCTTGTAAATAGAGATTTTAATCTGGTAAGAACTTGCAGGTCCCTTCATTCAAAGTCTTGATCTCATCAGAGGCTCTGTATGTTTCTGTTCCCATCTTCTTCTGCCTTGACCATGATAATGGTAGACCCTGGTAGCTGCTGGTCCCAGGTTGATGGCTTGTGCCCTCCAGCATCCTCTCCCATGCCAGGCCCTTCACGCGGAGTTGCTGCCTAACATGACTGCAGAAGATTCCAGAGTGGATGCAGAAAAAGCCCCCAAGATGCAAGACGGAATCTGCTCTACACACCCAGAGCTCTGGGATCTGAGATGAAACTGACCAGGAAAGATCTGACCACCCAGTACAAAGCCTGGCTGGGCCAAGTTTCTCTGGGCACTCTCCCTATTGCTGTCTCAGAGCCCTCAGGCCAGGACTGGACCTATCCCCCTGCAGCCCAGCCCCAGGCTGAAACACCTGCCCCTCTGAAGTAGAGCTGCCCATGGTAGCCCCACTCTGGTCTCTGCGGGGACTCCTAGGAGGGTCAGGGATGCCTGTGGCCAGCAGACTCAGCTGTCTCAGCTCAGAGTCAATGTAAACCAGAGTGAGGAACCCACTGGTATCCTGCATTGTCCCAAGGGGACCTGGTATTTGCAGCCTTCACCGGCCACATCCTTGCTGGGGCAGCTGGACTCACATAGCTGCTTCTGCCCATGTCCTCTGCCAAGCACTCCAGTCTCACCCGACTCCAACCCTGGCCCCAAACCCTAGGTCATGTGGCTGTGATCCAAAAGCCCTAGCGAGCTCTTGACTCTTCTGGCAGGCTGCATCCTCTTCTGTCCTCATTTTCTCCAGCCCCTTGTCCAGCTACTGACCACTGTCCTGCTGGCCAATGACCTGTCCTCAGATGGCAACATCTGCTGGGGGCAACTCAGCTTGATGGCTCCCCCAAGACCTAGAGTCTTGCAGCTCAGGTGCCTCCATGCAGCGTGACAACCTGGGTCAACTTTCCCAGCCCCACACGCCCCATGACTCCTGCCTCAAGAACCCACAGAACAAAGGTGTCAATAGACTTGAAGTTCATGCCCATCCCAATGCTGAAAAAAAAAAAAAAAAGAAAAGAAAAAAGAGTGACACTCTCTAAGCAAGTCAAAGCATAGAAAATGCTCCTTCGATACATTTTTTTGCAACACCCAAACATCTCCTACCGATCTGCTAATACAGTATGTCGATGTTTACATGAGTTCTTCAATGTTAACTTTTGAAATGTTATACAAATTACAATCCAGGTTTCTTCATCTAGACTCAACTACCTTTCTCGATGACATTTTCCATATTCACCCATAGGTAAACATATTCCTATATTTGGATCATGGGGAAAATGTCATGTCCTATTTCTTCTATTTTTCTACTTTCCTATCTCAGATTCACAGTAAGCACGAATCTGATTTATGCATCAGATTATTAAACTATTGATTACTTCATCATCATTCTCCAGTTTGTAAACATGTATTTGGTTTCTAGTTATTGTTCATGATTACAGGTAACCCAGAGCTAATATAATGCATCTTTGTACAAGTAGTACTTATCTCCTTTTAAATTGTTTTCATATAAAAACTTCGCTGCAATGGGTTTCCCAAAATAAAGCTAAAAATATTTTATCTGTATTTATTTATTTTTTTTTTGAGAAAGAGTCTCGCTGTGTCACCCAGGCTGAAGTGCAATGGCACAATCCTAGCTCATGGCAACCTCCATCTCTCAGGTTCAAGCGATTCTCCTGCCTCAGCCTCCTGAGTACCTGAGACTACAGGCATGCACCATTATACGCAGCTAATTTTTGTATTTTTACTAGAGACAGAGTTTCACTATGTTGGCCTGGCTGGTCTCGAATTCCTGGCCTCAAATGATCCACCTGCCTCAGTCTCCCAGTGCTGGGATTACAGGCGGGAGCCACTGTGCCTGGCAGGTAAAATAATTTAATGCTACCTAAAACATTGTTCTACTGAAGGACCGAACTCATTAATAATGTCACTGCTAGTGCAGAAGGCACCTTTCCTTCAAGATTCACAAATGCTTCCCCCAGATTTGGGCTTATTTAATAGATGTGAAATTTACTTCACTAATTATTTAATTTCTATTTCTTTCCTTATAAATGATGTGAAGTAATTTCTCTTTTGTGTGACTTATTTGTGTATATGCGAGTATATTTGTCTACTGGAGACTGGGGGTTAATTTTAGAAATTTTATGAGCTCTATATATTTCATGTACTAAGTCTCCATCTGTTGTAAGGAGATTTGAAAAATGTCAGAAACTCTGAAGAACATTTGGTAGCACTGCCCAGATGACACTTGGACTTCCTGCAGTTTCCTAAAATATTTTATTTTGCTACTATTTTGTCTTTATTTTAATTGTGCAAATGTTTAAATTTTACTCGAACATCTTTGTCCATTTTTTCTTCAAAATATCTTCAATAATGTAACCTGGTTTCTCCATTTGGTTACATTAACTATTTCTTTGTGTAAGATTTAATTTTTATTGTAATTCTTTGAAATAATTTTTGCCATATTGAAACAAAGTTATTCCAGTAGCACGTACAAAATAATTATGTCCTTTATGATGTTACTATACTCATTTGCCATGTTTTCATATGTACTTAAAATTATTAATTCATACTCTATTTTATTTCCGTGGTCTGTATTTCTCCTTCTAATCCAGTGTTACACTGGTTCAGTTACTGTTGTTTTTTAACACAGTCTATTTTGTGAGATAATTATTATTCTTTCATTAGCCCTCTAATATTCTTATCTATCTTTCCCAGCACACTGCAGAATCAATTATTCTGAATTCTATAAAATGCCAATGATATCATTGTTATTTTAACTGAAGTTATATTAAACCTACAAATTAAACCAGAAATAATGGCAACTTCCATTTGATCTCCCTACCCAGGAGTAGAACATATTTCTCTGTTTTCAAGCCTTTTTTTCCCCATTAAAATTTTGCAGACTTCTTTGATACATATTATATACCCTTACATAAGTTTAATTAATACATAATTCAATTTTGTGGCTATTATAAATCAGAAGTCTCTTGTTACTATAGTTTTGGCTGGCTAATAAAGGCATTTGAGTATCCAACTGATCTGTTATTGTATCTTTTGAACAGCAGTTTTTCTTCGCTGTTCTATTATCCCAATAGCTTTCTGGTTGATTCCTTTAGCTCGTCTAGGTGTATAATCACATAGCCTTCTAATAGTGTTCCTTTTAAATCTTATTTCTTTCCTGTACTTTATTATGCTGCCGAGAAAACATAAATCTCTATAAAATAATCATTGTGAAAGTTCTCCCTCCATTCTTCCTGTTATTCATGCCAAAAAGAAACTTTCATTTCATATTTGACCTGTCAGTAAAACCTGCTGACGCCCCCTTCAAAATAGCTCTGTAATCCAGCTCCTCTCCATCTCCCCTCTACCACCCTGAGCTCAGCCACCCACCACTCTCACTTGGGATGATTGTGCTGGCCTCCTAATCATAAGTCAAAGATCACTAGAGGATCTGTGAGAACTTGTCAGATATTATCACACTTCTGCTCAAAACCCTCCAAAGTCCTTAGAGTCCCTTGCAAAGTCCTGTATACTCTGCCTCCTCCACCTGTCCGACTTTACTTCCTACTGCTCAGCATCAGGAGACTTTTCTTTCCAGCCACAGGAGACTCCTTATTATTCCCCGAGCACAGCAGATACATTCCTGCCTCAGAGCCTTTGCACTGGCTGGTTCCTTTGCCTGGAAAACCCTTCCCTGGGTATCTGCACAGCCTCCCCGCTTACCTCCTCCAGGTGTTTGCTCAAATGTCAGAGTTTCAGTGAGACCTTCCCTGACTCCCTTATTTAAATGTGCTTCATCTTGTTCTTTGTTCCCTAAGCCCTTCCTCTTCCAGTTTTTCCTGTTGTACTTTTCACCATCTGACATTCTATATACTTGTTTCTCATCTCCCTATCTTTTTTCCATATACATAATAAACTAAACTGTAAGCTTCAGAGAGCAAGGGTTTCTACCTGTTTTTCTCATTACTCTCTCCTTGGCATTAGAAAATAGATGCTCAATAAATAATTGTACTGACGGAAAGCACACCTATGTTTTCATCAGGTTGCAGGTGAGCTGCTCTGAAATATCTAAATTCAGTGTGATTTTTATCTGTGATATTAAGTGGACCTTTTTATCATATTGACGAAGAATATTTTTATCCCCAGTTTTCATGGGTGAGGTTAGGAACAGGTGCTGAATTTTATTAAACACTCATCAGGCAGATGTCATCTTATGTACCATGGCATCCTACAGAGGGGTAAATAGGTCACTAAAGAGCCTCTTCCTTCAGTAATTAAATAAAGTGTGTCTCCAGGGATATACCTAAAAATATTGGATGTATTGTTCAGCTGGGCTTATTTCCTTCTCGTGGTTACAGGCCAATGGTTGATACACCAGAGAGCAAGAAGAAGAAATTCTAATGATTTAACCAACATGAAAATTAAGCAAGATGAGAAGATACCTTGCTGACATATTTCAAATTGACCCCTGTGAATATGTTTCATCTATTCGTGTCTATAGCACTGATTAATGGTTGTGTCTGGATTCATTGATGGGAGTTCCAATTATCAACAACGACTTTTATGCAGACAATGTTTCATTGTCATATTATATAGCCTAGACTTGTCATTTCTTTTCATCTCTTTGATTACTTGATTGTTTTACTAACATTTGGAAGTTTCTCTATTCCCTATATTCTTACAAATAATAGACTCACAGGTAAGAAGAAGTAAAAGGTAAATTTATTCATTTGGGCTTTAATTCTAACATGCATCTGTGATTCTAGCATGGAAAACACAAATATTTTAATAAATAAATTACATTAATATTTGTCTTTCAGTGGTAAAAATCTGCTGTTTACCCTAAGATTCTGAAGACTTAGAATTTTTGTATAGTTTTTATACTTTCAATATTCAAAAGCCAATTGAAATTTTAACCATCAGAAATTCAGATATTTTGCCAATTTTAGGTAGTTTGGGTTCATTTCATGTCAATACAGTCTTTCACTATCCAAGGTGAACATTATGATCATAATTTGTTTCAAGTTAAAGTTGTGTTCACAATACGTAGCACACAAACAAACTTCTTTATCATCTTTTAAGTATCCAATGGAAATTTGCCATTTAAAGAAAAGCTAAGCCTGGCAAACACCACCTCAGCTGGGTGTATCAAGGTCAAACCAACAGCAATAAGTCTTGTTGGCATTACATACCTTTAATACAATACGATGAAAATGGCACACCACCTCCGTGATCTTTCTCCCCAAAACCCACAACCCCAGTCTAAGAATGAGAAAAGCATCAGGCAAATCCCAGTTGAGGGACATTCTACAAAACACCTGGGCAGTATTCCTCAAAGCTGCCAAGGTCATCAAACACAAAGAAAGTCTGAGAAAGTGTCACAGCCAAGAGGAAACTAAGGAGACAAGAGGACTAAATGTAATAAGGTATCCTGGACAGGATCCCAGAACAGAAAAATGACATTAGGAAAAGAGTATGGACTTCAGTTAATAATTACACATTAATATTGCTTCATTAATTGTGACAACCATACCTTAAGCTGTAAGACATTAAATATAAAGGAAACTATATGTAGAGTATACATGGGAGCTCTCTGTACTATCTTTGTAATTATTCTGTAAATTTAACATTGCTCTAAAATGAAAAGCTTATTTTAAAAACTAGAGTTGTTAGGCCGGGTGCAGTGGCTCACACCTGTAATCCCAGCACTTTGGGAGTCTGAGGCGGGTGGATCACGAGGTCAGGAGATCGAGACCAGACTGGCTAACACGGTGAAACCCCGTCTCTACTAAAAATACAAAAAATTAGCCAGGCGTGGTGGTGGGCACCTGTAGTCCCAGCTACTCGGGAGGCTGAGGCAGGAGAATGGCGTGAATCTGGGAGGTGGAGCTTGCTGTGAGCCGAGATCACGCCAATGCACTCCAGCCTGGGAGACAGTGAGACTCCATCTCAAAAAAAAAAAAAAAAAAAAAAAAAAAAAAAAAACTAGAGTTTTAACATGGCTGAAACTTGGCCAATGTTTTTAATTATTGCGGTGATTAGTTTTCATAATTGATGATGAAGATAGTTTGAAACCTGTATGAGAATATTTGAATAAGATATTTTATAAGTAAATAATAATATGCACTCAGGTAAATGACAATATGCATTCAGATGACTTTTCCTTCAATTTTGTAGAGATTTTGCGGTCATCTTTGGCTCGAATTATTTAGATGATTGTCTCAATATTCCATGCTGTTTATATTTTGAAAATAACCTATCTTTATAAAAACTTGAACAAAGAGATGGCAAATCAAAAAAAGTAAGAGAGCAACATTGGTTTTAACTGATAAGTGGAATAAATAAAGAACAGATAAGGATCCTACTCAAAAAAGAATGCTGTGATAAATATTTTTGAAAACTGATCATCTCCTTGTAACACATACAACCACTGGATTTTTTCTCTTCATAAATACCGACTTCTGTGCACTATGTTTATTTAAGGTGATGTGTATCTCTACAAACAGAAGACTATAAAGTATATCCACTGGTATCAAACCAAAAATCACCCTAGAATGCAGGGGTCACCAGCCAAATTACCACAGAGATCAGAGAGCTCTGGGCCTATTTACACCATCAGAAACAGAGCACCAGCCAGAAGGAAAACATCCTGCACCTGAGAACTGATGATAAATCCATCATCATCCCACAGGAGCTAATGCAGTTGAGCCCAATCAGAGCAACAAGCTGAACGAACATGACCTTATACATGAAGTCAGCCTTTTTACTCATCACCCTAGCTAGTGTCAAGGCAGAAAGGTCAAGCAAAGAGCGGGGAGCAAAGAAATTTTGGGATGTCTATCTCAGCATTGCTACGAAGTTGAGAGGACAAATCCTCAAACCGTGACTCTCCATAACTATCTTGCAGGGTGTACAGACCCTCAAGGAGCATTGTATTTGTCTGTTTTCACACTGCTGATAAAGACATACCCAAGACCGGACAATTTACAAAAGAAAGAGGTTTAATGGACTTACAGTTCCACATGGCTGGGGAGGCCTCACAATCACTGTGGAAGGTGAAAGGCATGTCTCACATGGTGACAGACAAGAGAAGAGTGCTTGTGCAGGGAAACTCCCCCTTATAAAACCATCAGATCTCGTGAGACTTATTCACTATCATGAGAACAGCATGGGAAAGACCTGCCCCCATGATTCAATTACCTCCCACTGGGTCCCTCCCACAACATCTGGGAATTCAAGGTGAGATTTGGGTGAAGACATAACCAAACCATAACAAGCATCAAGACCAAACACTGCCTAGCAAGGTTTAATATAAAAGAGAGTTCAGGGGAAGGAACAAACCTCAGGAGTTATTTCCAGAAGTCTAGCTTCTATGACTATGAGCAAATTCATCACTGACTTGCTATGTTTTAAAGCATGTTTATATTTTAAATATGGACAATATTGACTGGGATTGGTGGCTCATGCCTGCAATCTCAGCACTTTGAGAGGCCAAGGCAGGGGGATCACTTGAGCCTGGGAGTTCAAGATAAGCCTGGTCAACATAGTGAGACCCTGTCTATACCAAAAATAAAATTAGCCAGATGTGGTGGTGCACAGTTGGTCCCAGCTACTTGGGGGCCTGAGGTGGGAGATCACTGGTTTGTGAGTTCCAGGCTGCAGTGAGCTGTAATCGTGCCATTGCACTCAAGCTTGGGCAACAGAGTGAGATCTTGTCTCAAAATATATATATGTGTATACACATATACATATATGTGTGTGTACACCAGTATACATGTACATATATACATATACACACACATATATATACACATACACATATATACACACACATTATTTACTAATGTAAAAATATAACCATATTAGCGTTTCATAGGGATAGACTGAATGTGATATTTCTACTAAAGTCCTCAGGAAGAAGTTTACCTACAAATACTAAAAATATTAAAAGAGAAACTAGTTAATAAATTAACCACATGCAATATAGGAAAATTTTCCATTCCAGAATATTTTTAAACACAAAATTATTCAAGTCACATGGTTTAAATACTGACGGCTGGGGGGATAGGGTGGGAATTAACCTAAAAATACAAATAATCCAAGAGAAAAGAACTGCAACATAGCTTTCCGCATTCTCTCCTAAATGTTATGACACCATCTCATGAAATAGTTGCCGTAAGTGTTTTATTTCCACTTTTGTCACTTGTACTTTCATCTCCATTAATTCTCATCTTAGCAATGATTTCTTCCACGGCTGCCCATGGGCAGGCCCAGTGTTAGCATGGAGTTTAAATGTTGTGTTTCTGCTTGAGAAACAGTCTAACCAGCTGCTGGCAGCCAGCACCTCACTCCATCTCTTAGTTTGCAACAAGAGGGGCCTAGGAGACTTTGAGCCTGTCCCAAGGCAAGAACAGAAGAGAGTTGAAGAAAGAACTGCTAGAATAAGAGCTAAAACAGCATTTATTACAGAATGGCCAAAGGTAAATCCTCCCTCTCCCCCCATTAGGTTTCCCAAAAGAAAACACAAATGCAGCCTAATTAGACCCCGAAAAAAAATGCAGAGAATGTTTGACATAAAATAATTAATGCCAAACGCCGCAAAGCCCAATAACTAGGTGGTAACATTCAGGTTCCTCCATTCGTTTACTGTGAAACAGTCTTAACCACACGGTTATGTTACATATTCATGTTCCTATACATCATGTGTTAATATACAGCAAGAGAAAATATACAAATGCTGGGAGTTCTACTTTAATTACCAGGGTTTTGCCCATTTAGTTTATAGCTGCTGTTGGGGATAGGTGTTGAGTACGTGGATAGAATGTGATTAAGACTAATTTTACATAATATCTAAGTACTCCTCTCATTTTTCCACCAAAGTGGCCAAACACATCTCATTATGTCCCAATTATCTGCTTATAAAGGCTCTATAAAGCCTTTCCCAGGCTCACACACTTGCTAAACAGTTTTATAAACAAGATTAGCCTTCCTTTTAGAATCTGCAAAGTGACAACTTCTCCAAGTCTCAAAAGTCCATTCCAAGAACTTCATTTCCATACTGGGTCATGCAACTGCTTCTTCCCAGGAACACCATGGCTATTCTGTATGGGAGAGAGCTGAAGAGCTCTGGGCAGGGGCCACTGCCCATCAGGGGGTGTGCTGGCTCCTTGCCCGGGACAAATCCCTTGTGACAGCCTCTAATGGGAGGCAGGAGGCAGGGCTGCCAGCAGGGAGTTGCATCCACAATGGCTTCCTGCATTTAAACTTTGGAAAAACAGGGGACTAATAGCCTCTATAAGAAAAGGGAAAAAAAGGATGCGGAGTCCTTAGTCCTGGCCAGGAGTGTGGAAATTTAAGCAGCCTCCCTTTTGCTGCTGCAACAACCAGTCCTATGCTTCCGACCCCTTCTAGTCTCAGTATCCAAATCCAATATCTTACCCCAAATATAGAAAGAAACACTGGCCCAAAGGTCCAAATTTAAAACCCACTGATGTCCTGGTAGACATTTGGCAATGAGGTTATTAGAAATGTAATGTAACAGATTTTTTAAAATTTGCTCCATTCTCCTCCACTTTTTTTTGGTATGGGCTCCTGTAGTTACAGGGGAATTTTAAGAGCATATGCGGTAGACAGAAGATGAAATTAGTCGGAATATCTGTAAATGGGATTGGGATCAATGCACTAAATGAAGCTGTCTGTGAGGTTGCTCAGCTTTCTCAAGCTCGTAGCTGGTCAGTCCATTGATGTCTTAGATGGTGTATTAATCAAGGTTCTCTAGAGGGACAGAACTAATAGGCTAGATGTAGATATAAAGGGGAATTTATCAAGAAGTATTGACACATATGATTGCAAGGTGAGGTCCCACAATAGGTCATCTGCAAGCTGAGGAGCAAGGAAGCTAGTCCAAGTCCTAAAACTTCAAAAGTACGGAAGCCAACAGTGTAGACTTCAGTCTGTGGTCACAGGGCCACAAGTTCCAAAGTTGAAGAACTTGGAGTCTGATGTTCAAGGGCAGGAAGCATCCAGCCGGGGAGAAAGACGGAGGCTGGAAGACTCACCCAGTTTAGTTTTTCCACATTCCTCTGTCTGCTTTTATCCTGGCCACACCAGCAGCTGATTAGATGGTGGCCACCCAGATTGAAGGTAGATCTGCCTCTCCCAGTCCACTGACTCAAATGTTAATCTCCTATGGCAACACCCTCACAGACACTTTGCATCCTTCAATGGAATCAAGTTGACACTCGATATTAACCATCACAGATGGGGAGAATGAGTCTAAGAGGAAGGGCAAGAGGGTGTCCTCAAGGTGAATTCAAAAAGGTCCTTAAAGAAAGAGGGCCCCTAGAGCAAGAGAGGCAGTGGAGCAAACTGCCAGTTGAACAAGTTAGACTGCCTGCTTGTACCCCACTTCTGGACTCTGACACTCAAAACACAGAAGTTCCCCCGAAAACCATCTGAGTAGGTCTGCTTTAAAACACCAGCGCATGTGCTCACAACTGGTTCATATTCCATTTGTGATTTTGTAAATAGGGTGTGATGATTGTTTTTCTGTGTCAACTTGACAGGCCTAAGGGATGCCCAGATAGCTGCTAAAACATTAATTCTGGGTGTTTCTGGAAGAGACCAGCATTTGACTCAGGAGGCTGAGTAGAGATACACCCACACCAAGGAGGGTAGGCATTATCTAATCTGTTGAGGGTCAGAATAAAACAAACAAACAAAAAAAAAAAATTGAAGAAGAGGCAAATTCTCTCTACTTGACCTGGGACTTCCCTTGGACATCTGAGCTCCCGATTCTCAGACATTAATGAAGAGGTGTCGCGGTCTAGAGTAATACCAAGGTTTGTCATCTCATGCCAAGGAAATCGAGTACGCGGACACAAAAAGTGGGTTTAGGAATGGAGGTTTAATAGGCAAAAGAAAGAGAAGGGAAAACAGCTCCCTCTCTTCCAAGAGAGAAGGGCACCGAAGTGGGAATTCCAGCCCACCCCAGGGTGCACTGGATTTTATAGACTGGCTTCAGGAGGCAGTATCAGATTTACACAGGGCCCACAGATTGGCTGGAGCTTCCCCGAGCTCCCTCCTTCACCACTTACATCACGTAACCTATGTTGCTGTGCATAGTTATTTATTAACCTGCCTACGCAGCCCACCAAGTTGCATATGCTTTAGCAGAATTAAGCTTTCTATATCTTATGTGCCCTGCAGTGCCCTGAAGATGTTGATTTCAATAAAGGTTTGCTGAATTAACAAACACATGCGTACTATGGACAGACACTACTTGGGAGGCTGAGGCAGGAGGATCGCTGGACTCCAGGAGTTCAAGGCTGCAGTGAGCTATGATCATACCCCTGCACTCCAGCCTGAGTGACAGAGCAAGATTCTGTCTCTTAAAAAAAAAAGGACAGACAATGCATAACCCAAAAGAATGAAAAGAAAGATCTCTAATGGGAATTCAATGTCGATGATACCTGAGTGCTGTAAAGAAGGACTTTTTATTTGTTTGTACCTAGAAGTATTTTCTTGTGGATCCCATCAGTTTCTGCAGACATGCATAAATTTTTAAGCATTCTTTGAAAGGGACTTGAGGGACATAAACAACAAAAATACTGAAATCACTCTTTGCTTCCTGGGATATAAAACATAAACATAACTGATTTTCTCTGTTCTTCTTTTATGTTGAAATTTGACATTTTATGATCCGTAATCACAAATCACAGTACAGCATAATTTGTCTTCTTCTACCGCTAACTTGAATTGCCAGCAATGCAAGAAATTTCCCAACCATCCGGCCTACCAGAATCATTATAAACTTTTATGACATGGCCAGGCGCGGTGGCTCACACCTGTAATCCCAGCACTTTGGGAGGCCGAGGTGGGCAGATCAGGAGATCGAGACCATCCTGGCTGACACGGTGAAACCCCATCTCTACTAAAAAAAAAAATACAAAAAAATTAGCCGGGCCTGGTGGCACATGCCTGTAGTCCTAGCTACTTGGGAGGCTGAGGCAGGAGAATGGTGTGAACCCAGGAGGCGGAGCTTGCAGTGAGCCAAGATCGTGCCACTGTACTCCAGCCTGGGTGACAGAGCAAGACTCCGTCTCAAACATAAATAAATAATAAAAATAAAAAATAAAAAACTTTAATGACAGAAAATTCTTTCTAGATCACCTTTTGTCCCTTCATGATTCTTGTGTCAATATATAGTCTTAATCTGTTACCATCACATTGTTATAGATGGCTTCAAATCCTTATTCTAAAAAAAAAAAAAAATTAGAGAAAATTATTCCTGTTTGTCCAAAGCTTTATAAATGCAAATTGGCATATGAAGTACAGAGATTTTTTCTTTTCTTGAGAAGGCTCCTTCTGCTTTATACACACATGAGATCTCATTCTTAATTAGGTTTTAGCACGTGAACAAATTTTCCCTTATATAAACAAAGTTAATAGATGATAGATAGATCAGACAGGTAGGGAAGCAAACACACATGTTTGGAAGAGAGGATTAACATAAATTATGATTCAGTGTATATTCATTATATCAAGGCAAAATTCCAATTAATCTAGGAAAATGCCTTACAGGTGGTGAGATATAACTTAGGCATGAAAAAAATGGAAGGCAAAAGACTGACCAGATGGAAGTTATCCAGGCAAAAAGAGAGGCCTTCTTGAAGGGTCAAGGAGGGAAGAGTGACCAGCTCTGAAGCCAGGTGAGTGGGTGATGACAGATGGGTACCACGAGGGAAAGCAAGCCAAACAGTTTTAGTCTTAATCATTTTAACTCAATTATGTGTATTAAGATCATTAAAGATTCATGCCGGTGAGTAAGGATTCAATTACTATAGACATTATGTCATTCATTTTGCTAGCACTTCCAGTAGAAATAATGTTTATATATCATGACATATGTGCAATTATGGACAAATATAATTTATTCGCATACAAAAAAATCCCTATAGCTTAGTAGTAAATTATATTTATGATTTAGCTATCATAATCATGAATGTAACTGTACACAGAGAGAGAGAGAAGGGAGAGGGCTGTGGGGAGATCCCACAGATACTCATGCGGGTAGGCTGAGATCCCTTCTGTCGAAAGATATAGAAAGTCATGTTACAGGTAATTCATAAGAAATTAACTATGTTTTGGTTTTGTTTGGTTGGATTCTTGTACTGAAGTTTCTTCACAACAGAATGATATATTTCCCAACACTTCACCATTTAAGAAGACAATCCAAAGCCTTTGAGCCTTAGAAATCAGGACTTACCTTATCTGAAAGGAGTGAACAGATTCTGTTTTCAAAAGTGTAGGCTACCAAGGGGAGATAAGAGACTTGCTGAAAAAGAGGAGAGCTCTGAGAACTGGAAGACAGGAAACTGGCCCAGCCCAGGAGGTGGTAGGAATTCCTCAAGACAGGGAGGAGGGAAAGGGATAGTGCTGTCCACAAGTGCTAGGAACTTGCCCTCCGTCTCCACAAGGCTGCCTGGAGATGGGATGGCAGGGGGGCTGGACAAAAAACCCATAGCATTATGAGCTGCAGCAAGGGTTCCCTCTTGCCTGGTCCAGGCAAGATCTCAGTGAGGAGCTTCCTGCAACCAGTGTGGCTGTCTAGAAATCAGGACAGCAAGGGCTCCATGTGCCAGATGCAGCCATGGCAACACTGGTGTACCTGTCAGGGTGCTATGATTGTAAGCAAACAATGCTGGCCACCAAAAGAGGATAAATAAGGAGTATTTCACAGAATCAAGGAGAAAACTGGAAACCAGGCCTCAGAAAAGAAATAATAAGAACAGTTCAGGAGATCTAGATAACCAGCCATCTCCACTCTCCTGGGGACTCCACTGTGACAAAGCATTGGGTTCCACCCGTTTTCTGTCCAGATGTCAAGAACACAGCTCCAGTTCAAACTCCCAGAAAACTGAGCGTGATTGGCTTGGCTGGGTTGGTCACCCACCTATTGGCCCAGTAGGGCAGGACACTTAATTGACAATCCCACTAAGCTATATACAATTGGGGAGGAATCATTTCCCAGATGAACATGAGGAGCTGCTGGCTAAAAGAAGGGAGCATGCTGGCAAAAATGCAGGTGTCCACTACAGATGGTGACCACTGTGAGCTAAAGGAACAGCCTCTTCCAATTTTTCCCATACTCACACAAGACCCAGGATTTTTACATAACCCGTTGTCAAATAGGGTAGCCTCCTGAGGACAGCTATTTGTGATTTATGATAATAATGGCACCTTGAGCTAGTTTTAACCTGATTTCATAAAACAATGAGGCATTGCTTGTGCTTGGGCTTTGTGGGGAAAATTCATTCCTACTGTAGCTGCTAGTGATCTTCTGTTTGTTTCTTCACATCCACTTTCTACCCTTCATTGATACCCAGAGGCTGACCTATGTGGGGTGCATACAGGTTCCCTGGCCCTCTGTTTTCTGACTGGGTTGGCTTATTCAGGGGAGGTAACAGCTTCATCTTATTGAAGAGGACTTCATTGCCTCTTGTTGGTATCCCTAACCTCCCCACCATCCCCCCAGCCCCCTACTTTACAAAAAGTCCCTCTGGGAGTTTAACTTGGTCATACTCCCTTGCTACAAAACTCCAGTGCAGTAGCCTCCCTTGAATAGTCTTCCTTTCCATATTGAACAGGTGTCATGAAAAGTTATTATTTAACAGTTACGGCACCTGCGATTTGGACAGAATCAGATTCATCGCCGGATTCCCAGACCCCTCTCTCAGAACTCCAAATATGCACCTTTGAAGCCTTTGTGTTCACTCCTGGTCAATTGATTGGAAATCTGTTTGTGAGTCTGACTGCTGAGCCAGTAATCTCGAAGGCAGCCCACTGAAGTACAAGATTCCTGTCATAAAATGCCTGACGGCTCACACTATTCACCGAATATCCTCTACTATCAAGTCCCAACAGATGGGCTGCCTGATCCATAATGAATGAACCACAGTTGAATGAGAAAATTGACTTACATTGTTCAAAGGAAAGAAGACTGTCTTTTCTTGAATGAGGAGGAGGACTGGTCAAAAAAGACTATCTTTTTAACCTAACTCTAGTCAGGCTCCTCTAAGCCCTCAGGGACCCTGAACTGGGACTCTGTCCTTCTGTTTTGTCCAGGTTCAGCAAGAATCCTGCTGCATTTGTTTAGCAAAAATCTCCATGGTTGATATCTGATCAATTGCTCATCCCCCACCCTCAATATTGAATCACACTGGCCCATCTTCAGCAAGAATCCTGTTGAGTGGATTTAGCAAGAATCCCCTATTCTTGATGTTTTCTCTTAGTAATTTTCCATCCACTGACCCCATCCTGTTCCTTGGCTGGAAATATCCACTTGCCCTTGTTGTATTTGGAGTTGAGTTTGATTTTCTACCAACTACAAAACTCCACTGTAGTAGACCCTTTTGACTTGAATAAAATCTTCCTTGCCATCTTAAAATTTTGATTTTGATTTTGATTAACACTCTGTAATGACTCCATTGGAGTATTCCATCTGTCTCTTGCCAGGACCCTAAGTGATACAGTAAAAAGCAAATTCAGGTCGAGTAATCAGAAAACCAATGACCAATGTGACTCAACCAATCACACCCCGTTGTCCAAGTATGTGCCCATCTCTCCTTTTCCCAAGATTAAATATGATCAGGGCAGCTGTGAATCGGTGTTTAGCAAAGAGCTCAGGAAGGCCAGGGAGCAGCTTTCAGTGCAGCTTGTTTTCAGGAGAGCCTGGAGCCAACAGTCATAGGAGTCCCTAAAACTCCCCAGCTCCTTACATCAAAGCAATGAAAATGCAGGGTGAGCTCAGCTCACCTGACACCCCAAAAAGGGCGAGATGGCTGCTGGGTTTGGGCACTACTGCACCTTCATGCTCTTCTGCACCACATAACACGGGGCCATTGCAAGAGCACATTGCCACCCCACTGGCTGCCAAAGGCTGTGTCAGGGCCACCTTTGAAGGTTTGTGCCCAGTTGCAATAGTGGAAGAGGGTGGCTAGGCCACACACATTACATATGTGAGAGTCTGTGCTAGTGCCAATTAGCAGCATGTGTTGTTGACCCTCTTTCAAAGTATGCAACAGTCAGTAGCATCAGGAGAGAGAAGGTGGAGCCAATCAGAGGTAGATTCAGACGCAGAATATCATGCAGTGTTATTGTTAGACAGAGCTGCAGCCTGTCCCAGGAATAGAACCTTGAGAACAAAAGCCATAGCAGAGGGATGTGGTGCTTAGAGGTTTAAAGAATCGCCTTTTGCCTCTAATATGCTGGGAAGACAGATGCAACTGCTGTCTCGTAGCTTCTCCTACAGGTTGGAAAAATAGCTGCTATAAATTGCCCCAGGCTTTTAAGTCAGAGCTCTAATGTAACCTTCATAGCCTTCACAAAGAAAAGAGCATGAAAGAGTTAAATCTCAAACTCCAAAACTGCTAGACAAAGAGAGAGAGGCAGAACTTAATGATATGCCAAAAGTAGAAACTATGGAGAACTCTAAAGAAATGAGGGTGTCTAAATTCACCTGGAGGGTTTTCTCCTCTAGAAAAAGGCCAGGGCAGGAGAGAAATGTCCTCCCACCTCTGGCAGATGCTAAGCCTAGCTGACTTGACATCCAATCCTGTTTCTTTGAGTGCCTTGCGCTACTACAGAGACTCAAGTGTCAAAAACATTCCTCAGACTCTCCTGCATCTAGAGTCCTGCATATGATATAGGTTCAACCAATTCAGTGCATCCATGACAGACATAAACGCAGTGCTAGTTACAAGGAGAAACGGGAGGTGGGGAGCAACCACGGTGCTGGCTCAGATCATGGTAGAGGCAGGATGGCTCTGCAGTCAGGAGTTTCCTGGGTTGTGTTTAGCCTGTGGCAGAAGCAGCGATGTTCCCAGTCTCCCAGGATTTACATATACGTGTAAGGGTGGGGCATGGTGGGTAGGGTATCAGGCTCAGTTGCAGAAAACAAACTTTTCTAACTGGTTTAAGCAGAAAGAGATTTGACATCAGAATATAAGTGGCTTACAAAAAAATACTTGGGAGGAGTAGAGGAGCAAATCCCATGCCAAGTTCTCAGGACATTTTCCTGAGTCATGAAACCACACATTGTAATAAATGACATGGAAATTACAGCACAGGACCTAAAGAGAAATAAGAGACAAGAAAAGAACCAAGAGCTCCACATCATATAGTCCTTGCATTGGTTTCTCATGGTTGCGATAATGAAGTACTACAGACTGGGTAGTTTAAAAAAACAGGTATTTGGTCGGGCGCGGTGGCTCATGCCTATAATCCCAGCACTTTGGGAGGCTAAGGCGGGTGGATCACAAGGTCAGGAGATCGACACCATCCTGGCTAACATGGTGAAACCCTGTCTCTACTAAAAATACAAAAAGTTAGCTGGGCATGGTGGCACACGCCTATAGTCACAGCTACTTGGGAGACTGGGACAAAAGAATCGCTTGAACCTGGGAGGCAGAGGTTGCAGTGAGCCGAGATTGTGCCACTGCACTCCAGCCTGGGCAACAGAGCAAGGCTCTGTCTCAAAATATATATATATAAATTAGCTGGGTGTGGTGGCGCTTGCCTGCAATCCCAGCTGTTCTCGAAGCTGAAGCAGGAGAATTGCTTTAACCCGGGAGGCAGAGGATGTGGTGAGCCAAGATTGTGCCACTGCACTCCAGCCTGGGTGACAGAGTGAGACTTCATCTCAAAAAAAAAAAAAAACAAAACAAACAAACAAACAAAAACAGCTGGGCACGGTGGCTCATGCCTGTAATCCCAGAACTTTGGGAGGCCGAGGTGGGCAGATTACGAGGTCAGGAGATCGAGACCATCCTTGCTAACACAGTGAAACCCCATCTCTACTAAAAATACAATAAATTAGCCAGGTGTGGTGGCATGTGCCTGTAGTCCCAGCTACTCGGGAGGCTGAGGCAGGAGAATCACTTGAACCCAGGAGGCGGAGGTTGCAGTGAGCCGAGATTGTGCCACTGCACTCCAGCCCGGGCGACAGAGACTCCATCCTCCCCAACCAAAAAAAAAAAAAATCGATGTCACAAAAGACAAAGAAAGGCTATGGAAATGTTCTGTTACTAGATGGAAGGAGACTTGACAATACCTGATCCTAGAGCAGCTGCTATACTGGAGGAAGAACATAGGTTATAAATAATATTTTGGGATAATTAAGACTGTTGAAATACCAGTGATAGAACAGATAAAGTACTGGGTTAATGTTAAAATTACTGAGGTTAATTATACCGTTTTGAAGAGAATCTGTTTATTCTTAGCAAATACACACTGCAGCATTTGAGGATAAACAACCATGCTATATACAACCTACTCCCAAATGATTCAGGAAAAAATAATATTAGGAATATAGAAAAAGAGAGAAAGTGATAAAAAAAAAAAAGCATGTGCAAAGAAAATGCCAACAAACAATAGTGAATCTGAGTCAAGTATATACAGATGTTCCCTTTACTTTTCCTTGAATCTATTCCTTAAGTTTGAATTTTCAAATAAAAGACTTTTTAAGGTCCAATTGAGTTCAGCAAACAAATACTCACAGAGAACTTACTATGCACCCCTTGTGGACACAAGTGTGACAAAGACCTGGCCTCTGTCTTTTAGGATCCCTGGTCTAGTGTAGAAGGAAGAACAGCCCCTGAATTAGGCCAATTGGTTGCATTCATTTTCTCCAGGACCAAAATTTCTTTTGGACCCACAGGAATGCATAATTCCCTCTCTCACTTTATGAACTCCTCCTGCTCACTGGCATAACTGCCCATTGAATGATTCTTTAGCACTTTATTATTTGTGTGCAACAAAATCTCCGATATGCCACCATCCCATGTACACCACACAGCCTGGGCTCTGCACAAAGGGGCCAAGTATGGAGCGCTGGTTTGAGATCCACAGTCCATATAGCCTCTGTTGCCTGTTTCCCTTCTAGGCTGCCCGAAAACCAGAACTGAAAGCCATAGGGGAGAAGTGATTCACCCTAGAGCGTCAGGGGCCTCCAGAGGCTGAGTTGCCTACAGGAAAGCTGGACTGCCCCCCAGGAAGGCTGACCACCTCATTTGGGTCACTGGCCTGGTTTTTTGGCAGAACTTTGCTTGCCCTCAAATTCTAATTGCAAAAGAAATGCTCTAAGCTGCCACTCAAATCATCTGTATCCGCGAGAGGAGCCACCCTTCTGGGCCAGACTAATTGGATTTGTCTTTATTGCGGTCATTACCAAGGGCTATTGGAAGCTACATAAGTCAACATGTTCCAACTTGCTATATCCACCTCCAGCTCAGAGCAGGTGTTTTAAAAAGCAACTGTCTGAAATTATGTGCAATGAATTAATGACTCCTTTGTCTCTGCAACAGAGTTGCTGTGGACTAAGGCAGTGAGTGACAGGACCGGACTTGCAAACTGAAATACACGATTTAAAAAAAAAAAAAAAAAAAAAAAAGTTTTAAAATGGGATTCACCATAACCATGCTGTTGGCACGGAGCTTCCCATTGGGATTTAAGTTGTACTTTACTTTTCAAACAGCATGCTTATTCTGAAAGGAGAGTCTGACCTATTTTACAGGAGAGGTGGGCCACTGCACCAGCCAGCTTGCTTGTAGTCAGGTTCGAAGCCATCTGGATCTCACAGGGTTTCATCAATGCTGGCAGAGCCTGAGCTCTGCCAGATGTCAACAGTATCTTACTTTTTTTTCTGAAGAAGTTCACTTTCTGTACCACCTGCGTTTGGTACAATACACTGAGACTCTCCACTAAAATGTCAAACTATTTCAGACTCCTATTTATTCACTGTCTTAGTCCATTTTGTGCTGCTATTACAGAATACCTGAAACGGGGTAATTTATGGAGAACAGAGATTTATTTCTTATAGTTCTGGAGGCTGGTCAATGGGCTGGCATCTGGTGAGAACCTTCTTGCTACATCATCTCATCGCAGAAGGTGGAAGGGCAAGAGGGCACATATGCCCAAGAAAATGTGTGCACACACAAAACAGTGGGAGAGAGAAAGAGAGATAGACAACTAGAGAGAGGAAAAGGGGACCAAGCTCATCCTTTTATCAGGAACTCATTCCCATGATCTACCATGATAATGGCATTAATCTGTCATATGTGCAGAGCCCTCATGAGCTAATCACCTCTTAACAGTCCCAGCTCTCAACACCACTGCATTGGGGATTAAGCTTCCAACACATAAACTTTGGGAAATCCATACAAACCATAGCATCTGCCTCCCACCCACATCTTGGCTCTTCAATGTCAAGGTATGTTGGTTGTGAAGGGAATATAAATGCACTCATAGTATAAACACAGGAAAACATGTCTCTCCTTTCATTCCAAGACTTACTGGAATTGTGTCAAGCTTCTTATGGTCAGAGATGAGGACTTCTCTTTATTTTGTCATTCTTCTGCTCCCATAAGCCCAAATAACAGTGAAATGTTAAGAACCTAGACATCTTCCAATAAATGCCCACTGACTGTCTTGCTCTCAGCAATGGCTGGTTTCTCTGCTGATCTTCAGCTGGGTCCCACCCAGCTTGGGAGATGCCAGAAGGATGGCTGCAGAAAAGCAATCTCCCTCCACAGTGACTGTCACACTGCTGCTGCTGTCACCATTTATATTTCTATCACCACCACCACGGCTGGGGAGCTGCCATGCCAGATGATGTCAGAGCACTTTACGAACATGCCACATTTACACCTCAGGGTATACAGCCACATTCCCAAACGTTTTTTAATCTCAGTATGAAAATCTGAAGATGTGCCGTCACAGAAATTAAAACTGATAATTTTTTAAATAGTTACTTATTAATTTAACATAATAACAAAACCCGACATTATCCAAATAACTATAATTTTTAATCCAAGCACACTTCACTGAAAAGGGTGGCATGGTTTTACATTTTTGCAAAAAACTCTTAAATGTCTAGCTGAAAAGAAAACAGCTGGCATTCTCATATCTGCTTCTACATTCAATCAGTTGAGTTATCACACATCATGTAGCCTCTGGAAAATGCCACCACACACTTGTGGGAGAATGAGAATGATGAGAATGACAAAGGAAAATATGCCTTGTATGATTGTCCAGAATAGTTTTGGCCTTTCAGATCCCCTAAGAATAGCCAGTATAGATGTGGTAGTTATGACTAAAGTACGGTGGTTGATTTCTGGCTCCAATATCTCACTGCCCTGGCTCAAAATGTACCATACACTAGCTATGTACCTTTTCCTCTCTGCCTCAATTTCTCCAGGCATTCTTTCAATCAGAAAATGTATATTGAGCACCCATTGTGGGTCACATATAGTTCTAGGTCCTGGAAATACACCATTGAGTGTTTCTGTCTCTGCAAAATTCCTGTGTTGAGGTTTCAACCCCCAGTGTGATAGTATTTGGAGGTGGGCCTTTGACAGGTATTTAGGTCGTGAAGGTAGAGCCCTCACAAATGGGATTAGCCCCTTAAAAAAAAAATGGACTCCAGAGAGCGTTCTTGCTGTCCTTCCACCAAGTGAAGATACAAGAAGACGATCAACTGCCCTCCCCAGAACCCAACCATGCTGGCACACTGATCTTAGACTTCCAGCCTCTAGAACCATGAAAAATAAATCCACCCAGTCTACAGTACTTTATTATAGCAGCCTAAATGGGCTACAGCACTGAGCAAAGCAGACAGCCCTTGTTCTGAGGGAGCTGATATTCTAAAGGAGGGATAATAAAAGTTCCTAAATCATTGCAAAGACTCACCAGGGAATTCATGTAAAGTGTTTTGCATATAATCATGCTAGCTATCATGATTATACCTATTTTATAGATGAAGAAATTCAGACAGAGAAGTTAAACAACATGTCCAGGGTCACAGTGGTACAAAGCAACAGCCAGGATTTGAACCCAAGTCTTAACCACAAGACCTTCTACCAGTTTCCAGTCTCCTCTTGGCTGTCATAAGGTGCAAGTGTGAGGACAAGACAATGTGGCTAAGGAAGGATGATCTTTGCAAGAGCACCCTCATAGAAGGGCAGATGGCTAGCACCTTCTCAAATGTAACTAAGAGAACATGACAAATGCATCAATGTTACATTTTAAGATCCACTCTCCCCCAAAAGCTGTGATTCCACCTAAATCTTAGGATGCTCAAACTGTAAAAGATCTTAGACATACTCATACCACATCCAAATGTAGCAGATGAGTCAGAGGAGGCTCCAACTGAGATACTTTCAAAAAATTAGATATGCATGCTTTCTACATGTTTGCTTTTCCTGCAAAACCCAGTAGCTACTCAAGAGGCTACCAAGAACCCAGCTGGGGCTGCAGAAGCTAAGGTGGGGCCCAGCAGACAGCATGCATCTCAGACTCTGACATCATGACAGACTGGAAGCCCCCATCTCTCTGCAGCAGCCACAGTTGGCCACTCACGTTCTCTTAAAACATTCTCACCCTCTCTCCTGGTAGCTTCCCTCCCACCTTTCTGATCTTTCTTTCCAGGGTCCTCTTCATGGACACTTACATGCAGTATTCATGCGTCATTTTTAAATTTTTCAAAGAGACAGGGTCTCACTCTGTTGCCCAGGCTGGAGTGCAGTGGTTTAATCACTGCTCACTGCAGCCTTGACCTCCCAGGCTCAAGTGGTTTAATCACTGCTCACTGCAGCCTTCACCCTTACATCTCAGCCTCCTAAGTAGCTGGGACTATAGGTGGCACATGCCACCATGCCTGCCTAATGTTTTTATTTTTTGTAGAGACAGGATCTCACTATGCTTCCCAGGCTGATCTCAAACTCCTGGGCGCAAATCATCTTCCTGCTTCTGTCTCCAAAAGCGCTAGGATTACAGGCATGAGCCACTATGCCCAGCCCACATAGGGCTTTCACATTATATCTGATGACTCCAAGTCTCTCTCTGCAGCCTCAACCTCTCCATGCACTTGAGGTTTGAGTAGCCAACAGGTGACACACATTTCCCCTTGGGTGCCCCACAGGCACCTGGTGATAGCCAAGGTCCCTCATAAACCTCTCAGGTGTCAAGGCCAGAGAAATGTCACCCCCTCAATATCGTTCAAATCTGTCCAGATGCCTGAAACTACCCTCCAGTTTGGGACTTCTCCACTCACATGAACTATCGTGATTGCCTTCTAACTGCAGCCCCCAACCAGTCACTCTTTGTTGTATGAACACCTAACAAGGGCCTACGACATGCCAGGCATGAGGCTCAGGGCACAAAAGTACCCAATCTTGTCTCCTTTAAATTCACCATTCACACTGTAAGCAGAGGTTTCTAGTCTCAGCCCTTTTCTACTTAGGTACTACAGGAAACTGGCTTGGTGTGTGAGTTTTCGAGACAGACCTGGGTAAACATTCTGGTTGTTCTATTTGTCACCTGCATAACTTGGAGAAAGTTGGTTTCTTGGTACTTTGGTTTTCTCCCTTGTAAAATGGAGAACAATAATTCCTAACTATAAGGTTATTTCCAAAATTCAGTAGGTCTGTGAAGCATCCAGTGCACTAGATAGCACATAGCAAGTTCTCATGAAGGGGTAATTATTGATGGCTATGTAAAGTACTTACAGAGCATGCCAACATCAACAGTCTTCGGTGTTCCCCACAGTGGCACCCAAGGCTGCTGCTGCTGCGTTCTGAGCCTCAGTGCCTCCCTCCCATCCCCTGTTAATCGTAGTTCCTGCTCAACTCCATGGCACTGCCTCGGCAGTCTCTCCTCCTGGAATACACTCGCCTCTTCTTTGTCATCCGTCAGCTGTCTCCCAGGAAGCCTCTTCCAGTGCCCCAGGTGGGCCAGACACTGCTCCCTGGCAATGTTGAGCCTGCACACGAGGTACAGCTGCAACAAATGTGGTCAAAGTCAAAAGGCCAGCACACCTATGCTTTCACCCTGGTACAGAGCTGCTGCCCAGGCCCATCGTGTGCCCCCATCCTAACCACTCTGGGCTTCCTTTCCCCACAAGGTCTATTCAGCTGGAGTGGGCTGGATAGTGGAAGGAAGAGGACTGCCCTGGTGACAATTCTGGCACCCTGGTAGGCAAATGACCAGTGCCCCCACGGCTCCTGAGGACATGACCACCCGCTGCCAGCCAGGGCTGCCCCAGTGTCGCCTCTACCTGTCTCCTCATGGGAATGACAGCCTCCGCAGAACACCATACAGGCTGACATATGTCTGGGCTGCCATCGCCTAGTGCTCTAGGGCTCATCATTAAGTCATCAAATCTTTCCCTGCCGAAACTCATATATCTAAATGCTGAAATATTTCCTGTTTCATTAACTCCAGTAAACAGCTGATTTTCCCCAGAGTCGACGTTCAGCCAGTGGTATGCCCCATGGCCTAGCTGATCAGCTGTCCCGGGGCACACTGTCACCTGCAGAGGCCCACGTTCCCAGCCAGGATAGCTGTCAACAATCGCTACCGTCACCACCTATACCTCTCCACTCATGGCTCTATCCAATCACCGCTTGTCACCCTGAACTTGCCTGTCCGCTTTCCTCTGACACACCATTGTGTAAGAGGGGCCAAGATGAGGAGGGTGTTTAATGTATCTTTATACCCCCAGCACCAAGCCCAGCCTGGCACATCACAGCACCAGGTGAAATGCTGAGTTCTCTGCAGATTGGCCCAGTTCTCCTCCCGACCTCAGGAAGTGGAGAGTTGGCTGTAGAGATTCCAGAGGCAGATTAGGAAATGGCACTCAGAGCTGAGGAGGTCAGACAGAGCTGCCAATGAACCCAGCTTCTCCTCTGACACTTTCTAAAGACAGAAGACCCTGCTAGAGAGGATGACAGCCACCTCTGGTCAATGGAGGCTTCTGGAGGTACCACTCACACAGCCAGACTATGGACCGAACAGACCTGGCACCATATCATTAATCCTAAATAGAAATAAAAGCCATCATCTGGCCGGGCGCGGTGGCTCACGCCTGTAATCCCAGCACTTTGGGAGACCAAGGTGGGCAGATCACTTGAGGTCAGGAGTTCAAGACCAGCCTGGCAAACATGGTGAAACCCCATCTCTACTAAAAATACTAATAAATTAGCCAGGCATGGTGGTGTACGCCTGAAATCCCGGCAACTCAGGAGGCTGAGGCAGGAGAATTGCTTGAAACGGGGAGGCAGAGGTGGCAGTGAGCCAAGATCCCACCACTGCACTCCAGCCTGGGCAACGGGGCAAGGCTCCATCTCAAAAAAAAAAAAAAGAAAAAAGAAAAGCCATCATCTGCCACTGAACATCCTCTATCCCAACCAATTTAAATAATACCGGCTCCAAGCTTGTTGGCATACTCCATTTGAATAGCTCAGCCTACTATTTTAGATGTAGATAGAGATATCTGCTGTTTTCAAATTAGCCTCTAGCACTCATCATTAAGTCATCAAATCTTTCCCTGCCAAAACTCATATACCCAAATGCTGAAATATTTCCTGTTTTATTATCTCCAGTAAACAGCTGATTTTCCCCAGAGTCGACGTTCAGCCGATGATGTGCCCCATGGCCTAGCTGATCAGCTGTCCCAGGGCGCATTGTCACCTGCAGAGGCCCACGTTCCCACCTATGTCAACAACTGCTGTTCCCCATGGGCAACCTGCATCTGGCAAAATAATACTTGGGGAGAGTGGAATAGACAAGTTGTTTGCTATTCACTTGGCCTCTGCTGTAACACAGCAGGGAGGAAAGGCTTTGGCTCCAGAAATCCCAGGGTTCAACTCCTAGCCCTATTATTTACCATCTGTGTGACCTCAGGCAAGTTGCTTAACCTCTCTGAACTTGTTTTCTCTTCTGCAAAACCTGGGCTAATCATACCCACCTCACTGAGTTTTGGGTGTGAACATGGAAGGAGTTAATATGTACTAAGTGCTTGGTGTCTATTCAGCCTTAGATAAATGCTAGCTCCCTTTCCATTCCTTTCTCTCTCAACTAGAGTGGTATTCATTGGTGTTTCATGTTTCATGAACCACTGAGAAGATTAGAACTGGAAGAAAACTTACTTGAGAGTTTCTGGTGTGAGCTGCTCAGTTTACAGGTGATAAAGACGAGGCCTAAAGACCAAACTCCTCCTAAAAAAAAATAAGAATTTGGGCTGTGCAAACTCTCCCCTTCTTTCTTGCCTAAATTGTCACCTTGCTCCTCAGTAGGGTTGGAAATTCTTCACATCCACCAGAAAGAGACTCTGCTTGAGGCTTCAGCACTGACACTTACGGTTGCACAAGTTGTGCACTGCACAATTAAGGAACTGCATTCACACAAACAATGACGGGAATGGTATCCCAAAATTTTGAACCACAGATCCTTGGATGTCCTATAAAGAAAGGGACACCCCTTCTTCTCTGAGATGGAGCCAACCAAAGGCATAGCACCTCACACCTGGCTGCTGGTGTGGAGTTTGTGGAGCTCAAGAGGGTTGACTGGGACCTTGGCCTCAGATAATGAAGTGGAAACTCTGGTTTCTGACAGATCCTCAGCTTGAAAAGGGGGCCAGATTATAAACACTAAAAGTGATAAGCAGTCACGAAAACTCTATGGGGTGCTACGGCACTCTATGACAGGAACGGCCCCAATTTGCTCCCACCTCCTGGCATCCATGCCTGCAGGTGTTCCCTCCCATGCTGACTCTGGGCTTAGCCTGTGACTTGCTTGGGTTGATAGGACAGTGGACAAACGTGATAGAAGTGGGGACTTGAAGAGCGCTTGCAACTCACAACTTGTCCTGTCTTGGTGCTCTTGGACTCTGCAGCCAGCACATCAGCTGGCCCCAGCCAGGCTGCTGGAGGACAAAGTGCCCTGTGGAAAAGGCCTCCAGCCATCCAGCATCCAAGATAAGGCCCTGACAAGCCAGCCCTCCCCATCTGGCCTCCAGCTGACCATAGACACATGAGCCAGCCCAGCTGAGATCTGCAGAGCCCAGCCAAGACCAGAATTGCCCAGCCATGCCCAGCCCAAATTGCCAATGTACAAAATGACTAAGTGTTCAGCTGGTTTGTTACATAGCAAAACAAACTGATGTAGGCTTTGCAGGGGAGTCTTGAGATTAATAAAAGAAGAAAGAAAGAAACTATAGGACCCATAATCTACTTGGACAGAAAGACTGTGTGCATATGAAGAAACAAATGGATTAAAGCTAACAATCAAATGAGGGCTAAGTACCCAGAGAAGCCCTCATGGAGGAGAAGCCTTAGTTGTCCTTGAAGGATGCCACTTATTCCCTCCAGCACACATTTATCACTTTTTTTTTTTTGAGACTGAGTCTTGCTCTGTTGCCAGGCTAGAGTGCAGTGGCATGATCTCGGCTCACTGCAACCTCTGAGTCCCTGGTTCAAGCGATTCTCCTGCCTCAGCCTCCCCAGTAGCTGGGATTACAGGCATGTGCCACCACACCCAGCTAATTTTTGTATTTTTAGTAGAGACAGGGTTTCACCATGTTGGCCAGGCTGGTCTTGATCTCCTGACCTCATGATCCACGCACCTAAGCCTGCCAAAGCACTGGGATTATCACATGTTTATCACATAGTACTGGGCACTATGCCAGGTGCATACCTCAGGTACAACACCTCGCCTGCAGTCTCATGTCCTATGTGAGGGCGTGGTTGGTATTCACACTTGCAGATATGGTTCTTGCCCAAATTCACACAGAAACAAAGTGGCAGTCCAGAAATTTGAATCCAGACAGTCTCACTCCACAACTCAACACCTTTATCACATAGTTTTGCCAAATTCAGGGGTAACTGATGCAATATCCAACATGTATCTTCTATTAGAGCCGTTCTTGAGCCCTGCATGTTAGCTCTGAGACACATCCATGTGGAGCAGCCATACAATTCCATACTGAATATTTTATTCTCGCCTCATTCTTTTTCTTTTTCTTTTTCTTTTTTTTTTTTTTTTTTTTTTTTGAGACAGGGTCTCACTCTGTCACCCAGGCTGGAGTGCTGTGGCACAATTCACAGCTCACTGCAGCCTCAACCTCCCCAGGCTCAGGCAATCCTCTCACCCTCAGCCTCCTGAGTAGCTGGGACTACAGGTGCACACCACCATGCCCGGCTAATTTTTTTTGTTGTGTTGTTGAGATGGGGTTTCACCATGTTGCTCAGGCTGGTCTCAAACTCCTAGGCTCAAGCAGTCTGCCCATCTCAGCCTCCCAAAGTGCTGAGATTACATGTGTGAGCTGCTGCACCTGGCCTCATTTCATTTTTTTTTTTTTTAACCGAAGAGAGTAAATGACTGAAGGGACCATTTTCCACATTTATTGTACCAATCTTGGGTGGAGGTAACTTGGTGTCTAATGATGATGGAGGCCAGTGGAGAAAGAACCTTGCCAACCCTCCACTAATGTTTGTCATCCAGTGGGGTCAGACAGGAAGGAAGTAGATTGTAACAGGAACACAAGAGGTAAGGCCAAACATTCCAGTGCCTGCCTGTTACCAGGTAGATGAAACCATGAAAAGGGAATAACACCAAGATCTTGCCTTTATAAATCTCGCAATAACCAACACCATCTTTTCACATGTCTTATGTTTAATCTGGGAATGTCAGTAGATCTGGTTCTAGTTAAATTTATGCTTTGTGGTAATTACAATTTCACTTGTTTGTACCTATAAATAGAGAGGAATTACTTACTTACAAGATTCTGGGCAGGGATTATTATGATGTTGATAAGACTATGTTAGCATGTGCTTAGAAATTCTCAAAAATGGAAGACACATATAGACCCTAGATTGAACAGTAGTTAATATTTATTGCACAGTTACTGAGCACCAGACACTGTGCTAATTGCTTTCCATGCACTATCTCAGTCGATACTCTCAACAAGGCTGTGAAGAAAGGGCTATTAGTTTTTTCCATTTTAAGGATGAGGAAATTGAGACTTATCAGGAATAACTAATTTATCTGAGGTCACACAGTTGGTAAGTGAAAGAGACAGAATTTAATCCTGGCAACTTAGCATTGGAGCCCTTGCTTTGAGCCACTTTGCCATTCTGTCTCAATTTAAACCCATGATATCAAGCTCAAAGGAAATGACTTTTCAGGGATTCAAAATATATGTAACAAACAGAAAGAACAAGATATTAACTCGAAAACATTGTGCAGACCAAAAATATTTATAGACAAACTCAAGATTCCTAGCTTGAGATAGAGCTGTTAATGGAAAGTTAGATATACTAGAAACATAACCCTAAGCCACCCAGGATAATAAATAGGGGGAATTTAAAATCCAGGCTAGTTAGTATTGAATTTAGCTGCCAAGAACAAAAGAACCCTCGTAGTGACTTAAAGTAGGTAAGAAATTTATTTCTCTCTTATGTAAATGTAGGCACTTAGGTCTCATTGCTCTTCCCACCTCTACAAGTGTCTTTGATCTGGTTCAAGACAGCTTCTATAGCTCCAGCCATCATGTCTGCATTCCTGCTAGCAGGAGAGGGGAAAGAAAGAGACAGACACACCCTCTCCGTGAAGGACGCTTCCTGAAAATTGTACACATCACTTCCATTTACAGCCCATTGGTCAGGATTTCATCACATGGGCCATACCCATTTGCAAGGGAGGCAGAGATACCTGGTTTTTATTCTTAGAGGTCATATACAGAGCAAAAAGGAGAGATTGAGTAGAGAGAATGGATATTGGTAGCACAATGAGCAGCATGTCACAGAATAATAAGACTTTATAGTCGGGTCACTTCTCTTCTGTCTTTGACAATCCACCGGTCCCACATCGACACCCATCCCCTCCATTTCAATCATGTTTAACTCCTTGCATTTACCTAAGCACACTGGACCCTACCCACACTCTGGGCCTTTTCTCTCTGCCTGGTTGAGCTTCTGTGCCTCCTTTGTCTTCTCCAACTTCTTCCCTCCTACCTCTTTGTCAAGCCCCATTCTCCTTTGGATTGCTCTGATGACCCTCTTCTCCCCTTTCCCCAGCAGCTGTCTCTTCTCTGAGATCCACAGCCTCTGTGCTTCCCCCTTATTTGGCTCTCAATACATCATCACCAGCTGCTATGGTTGGAATGAGTCCCCCAAAATTCTTGTGTTGGGAATTTAATCTCCAATGCAACAGTGTTGGAAAGTGGGGCCTTTGTGGAAGTGTTTAGGTCATGAGGGATCTGCTTTCATGAATGGATTAATGCCACTAAAAAAAAAAAAAAGCTCAATATTTATTGCACAGTTACTAAGCACCAGAGCACCAGACACTGTGCTAATTGCTTCCCAGGCACTATATCAGTTGATACTCTCAAAAGGCTGTGAAGAAAGGGCTACTACAGGGAAAACAGAAGGAATACATCCTTCTTGTCCTTCTGCCTTCCACCATGTGAGGACATAGTGCTCCTCTCCTCCAAAGGATCCAGCAACAAGATGTCATCTTAAAAACAGAGACTGCACCCTTACCAGACACCAAACATGCTGTTGCCTTGATCTTGGACTTCCCAGCCTCCAGAACTGTGAGAAGTAGATTTTTTTTCTTTATAAATTACCTAGTCTCAGGTTTTCTGTTATAGCGGCAAAAAAAATGAACTAAGATACCAATAGTTTGCTCACCAGTCTCCTCCACCAGGCTGCAAGCACCTTTGGGTAGGTCCTGGGTCTCTATCTCTCCCTCTGCAGCCCCTTCTCAGCTCCTACCTAACACAGGGAGGTGCTCAAAAATTCCTTGATTCTCAAAACTCTTTGCACCACTGTCAGAAGTCAATCTGTGATCACTGAGGTCTAGACATGGTTGAGTATGTCTTTCCATATTAAAAAAAAAAAAAAAAAAAAAAGCTGGGAGAATACATTTGCATGACTAATACCAAAACTCTAATAAATGAATACACAGAGGGTCTTGCACCCATGTTTTCATCCATTCCATTTCTGTTGTCTCCCAAAGGAACTATTTTTTTCTACCTTCCAGTGTTGCTTTATACATATGCAAGCAAATATGAATATATGCATATTTTCCTCTATTTCTGCTTCTTGCTTTTTTTCCACTGAACATATCCTAGCAATCTTACTACGTCAGTAAAAAGAGAGTGTTCCAATTCCTTTTTCCAGGGGCGTAGTATGCCGTTATGCACATGCGGCCACTGCTTTTCTTAACTAGTCCTTTGTCATTACCAACAATGATGCAGATGACATTTCATATGCACGAAAGTGAATCTATAAAATAAACTCCAAAAGTGGGATTTCTGCATGAAAGTGTAAACAACTTTGTCATTTTGGTAGCTATTGTGGCATGGCATTCCTAAATTTAAAAAAGAAAAAAAAGAAAAAAGTACTAAATCTGAAGAAAGTTCTTTGGTGAGCATTGGAAAAACAATTTTCTCTAAGGAAATAGACCATGAAGATAGGGAAAATTACCTCATTGTCACTGGGATATTTTCTCACATCCACAGTAGATTTAGGGTGGGTACCAGGTGTGAGAAATCACTCTGACTTTGCTCCTTTCTACAAACATAGGGCATCTCAACCCAGTGATTTCCATGGCATTTATAAAAAGGCCATTTCTGCCCGGGGTTTGTGCCACTACAAAGCTTGTAATGGATCTAGAGACAAAATGACAGGTTTTCCACATTGGGGGCACTTTCCTGGAAGCGTGCAATTCAGCTTCACGTCCCACTCTGGGAGCTTTGGAAACACTGCAACGTATCAAATTGCTGGGCCATCTGTGGTTTCCTGTCCACGGGTAGGGAGAGGGGACAGACAGAAGCTGCCTCTCTGGATCTCAGCAAATGTGCTGGGCTGAGGCCACAGACCAGGGCACTAGGACCCTTCTGTGCCCAACAGATGCCATTTGTGAGCTCAGAGCTTCTGCCACCTGTCTGAACAGGCACCAAAACTAGCAGCTGAAACATCCTCCATTCCACAAAAGCCAGTGCTTATATATTTAGCAGCTTAGCCATAGTCACACAGAAAGTAGAGCTGTGAAGGACTAGAAAGAGCTTAGGAGAGTCAATGCCTCCAACCCGCTGCAAACAAGCCCGAAGCACCATTGTCCCTCTGCATGAGGCAGTGAGGTCCCTGCAAGTCACGGCTGCTGCAGGAGTGCACACAGGATGGTGAGGTAGTCTGGCCCATGACCCAGGGCCTGGTACAGCAGGGTGAGTAGTGGGTGACCCTTCCCGTGGACTTGCAGGTGGTTCTGGAGTCAGATGCGTCTTAAGGAGGCAGAACGATTTGGGGCAAAACTGGGAATAGACAAAGTTATGAAGATGGCAGCACTTCTTGGCTTCCGGGTCCTTGAGTCCAAATCCTTCTTTGCATGTTTCCCTTTGCTGCATCCCCACGGTCATTGTCACCTGAATTATGGCCACAGGCTCCCCGCTGGCCCCACCATTTTCCCGTGCCCTTCCCACGCCATCCTAAACCCAGTGGCTACAGTGATAAACAGTCTCAGTTTAATCTATGTGGATTCTCTGCTCAAAGCCTGTAACAGTTCCTGTTCCATTCAGAGCGTGATCTGACCTCCCTGGGCCCTCTGGCCTCCTCTGCTGCCACTCTCCCTGGGCCCTGCACCCCTACCACACCAGCCCTTCGCTGCTCCTCCATTGCCATCAGAGACCCACCTTCAGGGTTTTTGTGCTCCCTGTGCCCCGGCCTGGGACAACTCCCAGCCTCCTAATCACACAGCTCTCCTCTTTCAGGTCTTCGTTTCTCCCTGGCCATCTGCACTTTCCTGTCCATGGGCTGGAACAGTGACAGACAGAAGCTGCCTTTCCGGACCTCAGCAAATGTGCTGGGGCAAGGCCATGGACTAGGGCACCAGGATCCTTCTGTGCCCCCAACAGATTCCTTTCATGAGCTCAGTGTCTCTGCCACCTGTCTGAGCAGCTCCTAAATTAGCAGCTCAAACCTCCTCCACCACACAAAAGCCAGTCTGTGCATCCTGTTCAGACAGTGGCTCTTTCCCGACCATCCTTCTTAAAAAAGGCACCACTAATCCCCATCTCATTGGAAACTTTACCTCCCTCTGCTTTTTCTCCAAAATTCTCAGCACAGTCTACGTAAACTGTTCATTTTATATATTTATGTCTCCATCATCCCCTCCCCACACTAGACTGGGAGCTCTGTGGGGGCACAGACGTATCTGTTTTGATTACCACCATATCCCACACATCTAAAGCAGCGCCAGGGCACACAGTAGGCTCCTGAATATCTGCTGAATGAATGAACACAGAAATGAGGAAGGTATTTCCTGCAAGCAACCTCATCTCAGTCGTCACAGAAGAAGCTGTCGTTGTGTAGAAACCCACGCACAAGAAGGTGCTATCACTGCCCCACCCCTGTCCGTCCCTGCTACCATCGAGGGTGTCTTTCATTGTTGCATTTTAAATGAGAAAAGACAGTGTCTAACATGAACAGAAGGAGCTCTATCGTGGATATTTTAGGTCAGGGTGGGTGGGGGAGATCATTTTGAGCAGAGAGCTTTCCTGAGTGTCCAGGGGCCCACCTCCATCATCTGCCCCAGCCTCTAGCAGTAACAGTGTGAAAGAGCTCTCACAGGCTCTGTTGCATGCCAGTATAGAAGTCATGGGGCTGCATCGCACACCTAGAGGTAAACTCATTTGCTGGGTGTGATCAGAGCACCTGGCCACTGCAGCTCAACAGGTGAGCAAATAAATAGCATGCCATTGTTCCTCTTCCACCAAAGCCATGATTTCCTGGTTAGTTTGTATTTGACATCAAGGCCAAATGACAATAATTTTTTTTTTTAAACTGGGTCTCACTCTGTCACCCAGGCTGGAGTGCAGTGGCGCAACCTCAGCTCACTGCAGCCTTGACCTCCCACGGTTCACATGATCCTCCCACCTCAGCCTCCCAAGTAGCTGGGGCTACAAGCACATTCCACCACACCCATCTAATTTTTGTAATTTTTTTTTTTTTTTGTAGCAATAGGGTTTCACCATGTTGCCCAGGCTGATCTCGAACTCCTGGGCTCAAGCAATCCACCAGCCTCAGCCTTCCAAATTTCTGGGATTACTGGTGTGAGACATGCAGCCCTGGCCTCGACAGTCACTTTCAAATTATTTAACTTCTCTAGTGACCTAATGGTTGATCTTTTTATTTTATCATGCTTATACCGTCTCTCTAGTCTTAGGTATAATTTCTCTGCAGGACATGTTGTTGTAGTAAAAGGAAGACCATAAGAAGATGACAATGGCCATGAGCACTACAGTGAAGCCCCACGGTGGTGTTGGTAAAGGAAGTTCCAATAGCAGTTCAGTGTCTGCAGGTGGAGCACAAGAAGCCGGGACAACAAGCAGGTCCTCAGTCCTCATGGCTTCCTCCCACGGTAGTTGTGAGGTCTAGGGAGGTCATGCCACTCTCCCAGTGCCCATATTCTTGGCTAGTAATACCAGTGTTATGCTAGAGGCAGTCTGATGTCTTTCGAAACGCACGTCTCATCAAGACAAAGCAGCCTATCTCTCAGGTAATGTAGGAACTTGGAAAGAGGCAATTAAAAGATGACTCTAAGGCAGGGTGTGGTGGCTCACGCCTGAAATCCCCACATTGTGGGGGGCCGAGGCGGGTGGATCACCTGAGGTCAGGAGTTGGAGGCCAGCCTGGCCAACATGGTAAAACCCCATCTCTACTAAAAATACAAGAAAATTAGCTAGGTGTGGCGTTAAGCACCTGTAATCCCAGCTACTCAGGAAGCTGAGGCAGGAGACTCACTTGAACCAGGAGGAGGTGGTTGCAATGAGCCAAGACTGCACCATGGCACTCCAGCCTGGGCAACAGAGTGAGACTCCATGGCAGGAAGAGAAGGGAAGGGAAGGGAAGGGAAGGGAAGGGAAGGGAAGGGAAGGGAAGGGAAGGGAAGGGAAGGGAAGGAAAGGGAAAGGAGAAGGCAGAAGAGAAAAGAGAAAGAAAGGAAAAGAAAGGAAAATGAAAAGAAAAAAGAAAAGAAAAGACTCTATGAGCCCTGATGGTACTCTAAATCAAAGTTCCTGAAGCCTGGAACACCAGAGCTTCCATACAAGCTTTCCATAGTTTGACCCAAATTAATAATCAGATCTGAAGTGTCATTTAGATGAACGTGGCAGCAGTTCTCCGGGAACCCCCTCTGAAGTCAGATTTCACTGTCTGCTCTTAAGCTTGTTTCAAGAAAGGAAATTGACCATAAAAGCTCCTATCCACTTCCTGATGATAAAGACAACTATCCAGTCTTGGCTTTTACTGCAGTCATTGCTATTGCATCATTTCCATTAATCTTCTCAGTGGCCCAGGGAGATTGGAGTGCCATCATTAATTTGAAAAGTAATAAAAGTTCTAGATTGAGCCATTTCCTGCATTCTTAAAACAAGGAATGTCTATATCTAACCTTCCACATTCCCAAGGTCAACGTCACCAACTATCTCCAGGTTAAGTCCAGGGATCGGTCTCCGTCCCCATCAGTGAGGCCCTGGCTGTCCCACCAAGTATTTCCCAAGTATTTCAAGGCTATTCTTGAAACTGTCTTTCCAAAATTATGACTGAGACAGTGAAAGATATCTAACAAACGACTCCATCTTGCTTCTAACCTCCAAGCTGTCCTTGTTCATTCCTGGGTGTAGGCTGAACTAACTTTGGGAGAAACTTTATAGTTTAAAACAAAGATGATAACATCCCTTTCCCAAAGCCGACCTCTTTCTTGCCTGGGGACTAGATTGCCTTTGTAGGACCAACATTAGCCAAAAGATGAGAAATTATGGTTTAGGAGTCATGCAGCTGGAGGCTACAAGATTCTGACCCTCCCTAAACTGCTCCTAAGATCAGTGCTCTAGATACCCTGCACTTGATAGATCAGCTGGCACCACCCAGATCAATAAACTGTCTCATCTGATCTTGTGGTCCCCACCCAGGAACTGATTCAGCATAAGAAGACAGCTCCAACTCCGTATGATTTCATCTCTGAGCAGTCGGCACTCCTCCTGGCTCACTTGTTTCCCCCCATCCACCAAGTTATCCTTAAAAACTCTGTTCCCTGGATGTTCAAGGAAACTGATTTGAGTAATAATAAAACTCCAGTCAGTCCTTCACAGCCGGCTCTGCATGAATTCCTCTTTCTCTATTGCAGATCCCCTGTCTTGATGAACCAGCTCTGAACCCACTGGGCAGTTACATTGTTGGCTATTTGCATGTGCTTTCTTAGGATTTCATTTCCCTCTTCCTCTCCAATTCTGCCACGAGCCTGAAACTGGACTTTTGAAATTGCCTCCTAACTGGTCTTCCTGCCGCTGGTACCTCATCTACATACATCTAGAATGATCTTCCTATAGGACAAATGGGATCACTTCAATCATCTTAGTTCACTTTAATGCTTATTGAGCAAGGTCTGGTGGATATAAAAAGGGGAACCAGAGTGGCCGTGGTGGCTCATGCTTGTAATCCCAGCACTTTGGGAGGCCGAGGCGGGTGGATCACATGAGGTCGGGAGTTCGAGACCAGTCTGACCAACATGGAGAAGCCCCATCTCTACTAAAAATACAAAATTAGCCGGGTGTGGTGGCACATCCCTGTAATCCCTGCTACTCAGGAGGCTGAGAGAGGAGAATCGCTTGAACCCGGGAGGCAGAGGTTGTGGTAAGCCGAGATCGTGCCATTGCACTCCAGCCTGGGCAACAAGAGCGAAACTCCGTCTCAAAAAAAAAACAAAAGGGTGGGGGTGGGGGAACCAGAGACATCCCTATTGTGATGGTTAATTTGAGTGTCATCTTGATTGGATTGAAGGATACAAAGTATTGTTCCTGGGTGTGTCTGAGAGGGTGTTGCCAAAGGAGATTAACATTTGAGTCAGCGGACTGGGAGAGGCAGATCCACCTTCAATCCGGGAGGGCACCATCGAATCAGCTGCCAGCACAGCTAGGATAAAAGCGGACAGAGGAACGTGGAAGCACTAGACTGGCTGAGTCTTCCAGTCTTCATCTTTCTCCTGTGCTGGATGCTTCCTGCCCTCAAACATTGGACTCCAAGTTCTTCAGCTTTTGGACTCTTGGGCTTACACCAGTGGTTTGCCAGGGGCTCTCGGGCCTTCGGCCACAGACTGAAGGCTGCACTGTCGGCTTCCCTACTTTTGAGGTTTTGGGACTCGGACTGGCTTCCTTGCTCCTCAGCTTGCAGATGGTCTATTGTGGGACTTCACCTTGTGATCACGTGAGTCAATACTCCTTAATAAACTCCCTTTCATATATGCATTTATACTATTAGTCCTGTCCCTCTAGAGAATCCTAATACACCTGTCTTCAAAAAAAGCAGCTCTAGAAGTTTGATGACTCCCCACAATTGCAGGCTCCTCAGTCTGCAAACATGCTCTTTCACCGGCTGCCCCTGCTTGTTTCTCCAGCTCGTTTCCAGCCATTTTCTCATGTGCATTCTCCACCCCAGCCATGCCTGCTACCAGGACCACTGGAATATTCTGAACCTCTTCCCCCTCGCTTCCTGTTTATCTGTAATGTCTCAATCCAAACTTCTTCTCCTGGCTGCACTGAATTTTTAGTCCGGAATAAGTTACATTCCTTCTCTGATGTACAGTTGTCCTGGACAAAATGCTATTAAAGTTTCTTTTTTTTTTTTTTTACTTTGCTTTAATTGTGCATTTTATTTAAATTGTTTATTTTCTTGTCTGTCTCTCCCACTAGGCTATGCTCTTTTAGGGCATGTCAATGTCAGAGGCCTTTTAACCAGAGCAACTTTATCTTGAATAGGGGCTGGGTAAGGTAAGGCTGAGACCTGCTGGTCTGCATTCCCAGGCATTAGGCATTCTAAGTCACAGAATGAGATAGGAGGTCGGCACAAGACACAGGTCCTAAAAACCTTGCAGTAAAGAAGTTAACCAATCCCACCAAAACCAAGATGGCAACAAGAGTGACCTGGTCATCCTCACTGCTTATTATATGCTAATTATAATGCATTAGCATAGTAAAAGACACTCCCACCAACTCCGTGACAGTTTACAGATGCCACGGCAACAGTGAGGAAGTTCCCCTATATAGTCTAAAAAGGGGAGGAAACCTCAGCTCTAGAAATTGCCCATGATTTCTGGAAAACGCATGAATAATCCACCCCCTGTTTAGCATAACATCAAGAAATAACTATAAGTATCCTTAGTCCAGCAGCCCAAGCTGCTGCTCTGCCTGTGGAATAGCCATTTCTAATTCTTTACTTTCTTCATTAACTTGTTTTCACTTTACTTTATGGACTCATTCCAAATTCTTTCTTGCACCAGATCCTGGAACCCTCTCCTGGGGTCTGGATTAGGACCCCTTTCCAGTAACATTAATATTTTATTCATTTTCTGCCCATAGCCTTGCACAGTGTCCGGCACAAGTAGGCAATCAATAAAAATTTTGTTCAATAAATAAGAGCTCTGTGACATGAGCTCATTATTTGTTCCCTTGTGTAGATGAGGTAGACCCACAGCCAGGTTTGACTTCTTGCACTCTTACCAAGCAATCGAAGGGCTCATTTCCTGATGTGCATAAAAGCTAGTACCACGGCACCAGCTTTTGAGAAAAGAAAAGCTTTATTGGAAGTTAACTAGAAAGGAGACCAAAGGAAATGCTCAAATCTGTCTCCTTGAGCTTGGGGCTGTGGGGTTTTATAAGCATAGGGTAATAAGGCAAGATCTGATTGGGTCTTGCAATGACATGATGCTGGGAAGGCATGATCTGATTGGATCTTGCCATGGAGTGACACAAGGGCTCAATCTGATTGGATCTTGGATCCTGTCATGTGGTGTCCGCTTCTTAATTCAGTCCTGCTAATCTGTCAAAACACTTAGGTTCCGCCTGTGGTTGGATGCTTGGTCCATCTGCACACGCACAGGGTATGTGACCTTCAACCTGGGGGCAGCCCATGGCAACTGAAAAACAACTGACAACTTTGTTACATAAAAGCCGAGCCAGATTGGTCTGGTATAGTTACAGCATTACTTAAAGCATGTGTCCAAGCATGAGGGGTTCTGGGTCCCTGTTCAGTGACAGGTGACACTGTTGCTCCAGTAGCCTCTTCATTTCCTTCCTCCTGTGTCTTCACAATAAAAGACACTGTGTATTCATTCTAGGCCCATCGATTCTAACACAAGTTAATCTTTTCAATGCCTTGTGATCTTAACTCTAAGAAAAGCATCCATAATCTAAATACAAACAGGTCCCCCGCCTGCTCTGCACCTGCAAAAACTATCCCAATGGCATCACAGCTATCAGAGGAGGTGGGCTTTGCCCTGAGCATAGCACAAAGAGCCTCTTCTATCATCTCGTCGGCCTCCATCTCCTCCCTTCCCACAAGCCCTTGAACCCAAGGCTAGCCAGGTCCCTGGCCACCACTTTACCCGCAGAAGGTGAGAGGGACACCAGCCACCAGGTCCCAATTTAGAAAGAGAAAGGAAAGGAGTAGAACTGCTCTGCATACAAAAGTAGGGCACATTTGAGATTCTTTTGTGGAGAGAAACAATTAAGAAGCTGCAAAATGGGGGAGAGGAGGAGAGCTGGGAGAAGGTCACAGGGAGGAGAGAGAAGCTTGAGAAAATTGCACTAGGTAAGCCATGGCCGATGAACAATTGGGAATGATGCAGGGAATGCTTTTGAAAGACAGTCGTCTTACTATCCCAGCCTTATGCCATAGTTAGCACTGTACTCGAATTCCATGCCGTGACTGCAAATACTCCAGCAAGTGGTACAATGCAGCAGCCCAACATTAGTGCTTCTTATGGGGATGAGGAGACACAGGGGTCACTGCCTGGCAACCTTGGCAGGGAAGGAAGACAGCTGCCCCAGGAGCAAGGGCCAGGAGCAGCTGCATTCTGTGAACCTGTACCAAACTGCCTTTGTGGTTGAACAAGAAGACATGGCATTGAGAAACCGTATTCTCAAAAATTACAGACCTCCTGACAGTTTCCTCTTCAAAATCCTATCAGTAAGAATGGAAGATCCCATTCCTACCTGAAATATCTGGGGTCTCTTTGACACAGAGAAGCAGCCTAGATTTCCAAGGCAGGTGCAGTGCTTCAGATAAGGAGTTTGGAAGCACAATATTCTACATTTCTCTTAACCCTGTAGTTTCCAAGGAAACGGAGCCCTGAGTCAGCTCCCCAGCTCAGCCTGATGTTAATTACACACAGCCCTGCTTTGCGCTCATCAAAACACTGCTTCATTTGAATTTTAGCTAAATCCCATCGTTTCCCCAAATCCTAGAATAACCTCCTGCTTGCTTTGTTTGATAAGGCCCTCTATGGCTTTCTGGGGGCACTTGCCCTTTTTGCAACATGGTATTAATAAACTTTGGCCGGGTGCAGTGGCTCATACCTGTAATCCCAGCACTTTGGGAGGCCGAGGTGGGTGGATCACCTGAGATCAGGAGTTCGAGACCAGCCTGGCCAACATGGTGAAACCCCATCTCTACTAAAAAAATAAAATAAATTAGCTGGGCGTGGTCGTGCACACCAGTAATCCCAGCTACGCTGGAGGCTGATGCATGAGAATCACTTGAACCTGGGAGGCGGAGGTTTCAGTGAGCCAAGATCGCACTGCTGCACTCAGCCTGAGCGACAGAGCAAGATTCCATCTTAATAATAATAATAAACTTCATTCTGGAAAGTGCATGTTTATTTCTGGTCTCTATTATTTCAGATGGGCCAAGGAATGTCTGTCATCCCTGAACTTGTGAGATACTGTGGAAGGTGAGACATGATCCCCTAAATTGTAAGAGTTAGAGATCTCTGGGCAATGTGGAGATCTGAAAAATATTAATAATGCAAAGGCAGGTAGCACAGTAGGAAAGTAGGAAACAACCAGGAGTTTCAGAGTGAGAAAGTCCCAGGTAAAATTCCAGCTCCCTGACTTACTAGTGGGGTGTTACCTAACCTGTCTACACTTCTGTCATCTTTATCCTGGGCTGTTGCCAGGATTCGATGAGATAATGTGTGTTAAATGCCTTTCATTGTGCCTGTCATATATTAACCACTCCACATTGTTAATTATTACTATTTGTAAAATATGAGTGGAGATGAATAAGGAATGGAAAGAATTGTGAAAACATTAAGAGACAAACATCAGCTCTGCTGATGTTGTAGGACTGAGTGATTTTCTTTGGTATCCTACAATATTGCTTTCCTTTCCGCCCTGTATTTCCTTTTTCTCCTGGGCATGCAGCGAGACCACAGGCCTACTGCTTCTCCCAGTTTCCCTGTCTTGGGTAAATGGCAACTCCATTCTTCCAGGTCCTCAGATCAAATAACCTGGCATCAGCCTTGATCTCTTATCTCCTATCTCCCATCCAAAATATGGTAAACCCTGTTGGCTCTTCCTTCAACTTATCTCCAAAATTCTACCCCTTGTCACCACCTTCACTGCTACATCCTCAAACCAAGTTTCACCTTGGTTATTGAAACTGCATCCTAACTAGGCTTCCTGATTCCACCATTACTGCCTTATATTCACCCTCCACTCAGCAGCAGGAAGATCCTTCCAATATGTAAACACCCTCTTAGGCTTAGTATCCTCCAGTGACTCCCACTAAATCCTTACAATAGCTTACGAGGTCCTACACAATCTGGCCCAGATCACCTGTCTGAACTCATCTCTCCCATCTCCTCTTCCTCATGACCCTACACCAGCCATACCTGCCTCTTGGCTATTCTGGAAATGCTAAGAATGCTCTCACCTCAGGGCTTTTGCACTTGCTGTTCCCTCTGCTTGGAGCACTCTTCCTCCAGATCTCCATATGGCTTCTTTCCTCACTTGCTTCAAGCCTATGCTCAAGTGTCACCTTGTTGGAGATAATTCCCTGACCACTATGCATGCACACATGCACGCACACACACACACACACACACATACACACACAGAGTAATTCCCCCCATAGCATCTATTGGCCATGGACATACAACACATTTACACATTTACTTTTCTGTATGTTTCTTTCTTTTCTCTGCCACCAGAAAAAAAAGGTTCCACTTGATCAGGAACTTACTCTGTTTTGTTCACTGCTCTGTCTCCAGCACGTGAAACAGAGTGGCATAAAGCAGATGTTCAATTAACATGTATTTAATGAACTGAATGAAGTCACAGGTTTTAAGGAGTGTTAATTCCCATGCACGCCTGAGTAAGAGAAACAATCTCACTTTTCCTTTTGATCACATGAAAGAAACAATAGAAAAACAATAAGTGGTTTCCCCCCAGCTGTAACAGCGCCAGGGACTTCCCACCTGCTGCTTCTGCTTAGAAAAGCAGTGGTGTTTGAAGAATTCTTGGAGGTTATGAGCTCACGTGTCTGTGTTCTGACACATACACCCCCACACGCCCTTGCACACTGCAGTACAGAAGGAAACCCTACTGAGAGAGGTAGGCAGTCTATGTCCAGGCTGTAGAAACAGTGGCTGCCATCACTGCTATGTTACGGACCCTAAATTAGCTTATTTCATGACCCCACAGAGTTACACTGATTGTTTTCACACAGTGTTTCTCAAAGAGTGGGCCAGAGCAGCAGCAGCAGCAGCATCTGCAAACTTGCTGGACATTTGAATTCTTCAACCCATCCCAGATCCACTGAATAGAAGCTTTGCAGGGCTCAGCCCAGTGCTCTGTGTTTTAACGGGTCCTTTGGGTGTTCTGATGCAGTGAAGTTTGAGAACTTCTGCTTCAGTGGACAAACAAGAATGTCTGGGAGGAAGAAAAAGTACCAAAAAAAACTGACAAAATTTTTTAAATGCCATGTAAAGGCTGAGTGCAGTAGCTCATGCCTGTAATCCCAGTACTTTGGGAGGAGGAGGCAAGAGGATTGCTTGAGCCCAGGAGTTTGAGACCAGCCTGGGCAACATAGGGAGAGTCTATCTCTACAAAACAATTAAAAAGTTAGCCAGGCATGGTGGCGTGTGTCTGTAGTCCCAGCTACTTGGGAGGCTGAGGTGGGAGGATCACTTGAGACCAGGAGATGGAGGCTGCAGTGAGCCATGATCCTATCACAGCACTCTAGTCTAGGCAACAGAGCAAGACCCTGTCTCCAAAAATAAATAAATAAATAATAAAATGGCCATGTTAATCCTAATACTGAGTTCTAGCTTTACTTATCAAGCTGTGTGAAACTGAAATAAGGACATCAGGGTGAGGGAACTGGCTCTCTCGGGAGAGGGGAAATCCTATTTCTTCTTCATCACTGACCGCTTGCTTCAGTCAGGCTGTTCCTGTCAGGCTGGTGTGAAATGAATTAGCAATGTCACCAGCTTCCCAAGGAACAGGTGTCTCTGCCATACCTCCGGCAACCAATATCACGACTTTCACTAATTGCTCTGCCCTTGTCAGGCCCTTTGAGGACTAAGTGGGCCCTGGAGATGGAGTGACCCTTTACCTGCTCAGAGCTGCCTTTAATCCCAACCACATGCCCCCACCCCACTGGAGCCCCGGAGCATGGGAAATATGGAGCACCACAGTAGCAATGCAGAAGCATGAGTCACTGCTGAAGCTTGTGGGAGGAAAAATAGAATTCAGGCCTTCTGCTCTAATTACACTTGATTGTTGCCCGTTGTGAACAAGGACTTTTAGGGTTGACGGTATCCTCACCATCGGCCCACTCTGTTGGCGGGACCCAGGAGCTGGTATTGCTGGAGAAATTCACACAGAAGGGGAATCACTTCTTCTTAAAATGAAAATTTGGGCCAGGCTCAGTGTCTCATGCCTGTAATGAGAGCATTTTGGGAGGCTGTGGTGGGTGGATCACATGAGGCCAGGAGTTCGAGACCAGCCTGGCCAACATGGTGAAACCCCGTCTCTACTAAAAAACAAAAATTAGCTGGGCACGGTAGTGCATGTCTGTAATCCCAGCCACTGGGGAGGCTGAGGCAGGAGAATTGCTTGAACCCAGGAGGCAGAAGTTGCAGTGAGCCAAGACTGTGCCACTGTACTCCAGCCTGGGCAACAGAGTGAGACTCTGTCTCAAAAAAAAAAAGAAAGAAAGAAAGAAAGAAATATAAAGAAAATTGGCTCATGTCACTCCTCTGCTTGACTGACATCTGGATTGATTGACAATGCCTTTCCATTGAGCTTAGAATAAAATCTCAAACCCCTCAATGACAGTAAAAAAAAAAAAAAATTTTAATTATGAGCAAGAGACTTGAATAGACATTTCTCCCAAGAAGACACACAAATACCCATTAAGCACGTGGAGAGAGGCTCAATATCTCTAACCATTAGAGAAATGCAAATCAAAACCACAGACTTCACATCCACTGGGATGCTATTATGAAACCCACACATTCAGAAACTTATGAGTGTTGGCAAAGATGTGAAGAAGCTGGAAGACTTGTGAACAGCTAGTGGAAATGTAAAATGGTGCAATCACTGTGGAAAACTGTATGGCAGTTCCTCAAAAACTGAAACATACAATTACCATAGGATCCAGCAGTTCCATTCCTGGATATAGTCTTAAATGGAAAGCAATGACTCAAACAGGTATTTGTACACCCATGTTCATTGCAGCATTATTCACAATAGCCAAGAGATGGAAACACCTAAAATGTCTATCACTGGATGAATCAACCCCAAATGTCATATATCCACACAATGGAGTATTATTCAGCCTAAAAAAGAAAAGAAAATTCTAACACATGCTACAACAGGGATGAATCTTGAAGACATTACGCTAAGTGAAATAAGCCAGACCTAAAAGGACAAAAATTGTATGATTCCTCTTTTGAGGTTCGCAGAGTAGCCAAATTCAGAGAAACAGAAAGTAGAATAGAGGTTACCAGGGGCTGCAGGGAGAGAGGAATGGGGAGTTAGTGTTTTAATGGGTACAGAGTTGCAGTTTGAGATGATGAGAAAGTTATGGAGATAGCCGGTGGTGATGGTTGCACTATAATGTTAACATACTTAGTGCCACTTAAACATAATTAAGATGGTAACTTTGGTATTATGTATATTTTTCAACAATAAGAAGTTTTCAAATCCCAAACCCCTCTCTTATATGGCCCCTTCTCATTTGTCCACCACTCTCTGACATTTCTTGATCTCTTGCTTCTGTGCTTCAGATATCCTGTTTTTATTTCAGTTCCTCAAAAAGGCCAAACTCGTTCTCAACCTCAGAGCCTTTGCACTATCACTTCCTCTGTGGGGAACATTTTTCTCTCTATTCTTTACAAGGATAAATCCTTTTGATGTTTTGTATGTGTGGCAGAGACTACCTAGACGCTCACACCAAGCTGTTTCCTCTTCCTCCTGGGCATACGTGTCTCACTGGGCATACCTGTTCTTCCTGGGCTACACCTGACTTCCCAGCCTCCCTTGCAGTTAAGTGTGTCCAGTGATGGTGAGAAAGAAAATCACCAGCATCACTGCAGGCTTTCTACCCATTCTGGAGAAAACCCTGATGCAGAAGGGCAAGGGGATTATGGAAGGGAAATGTTAAAAACTGAGGAGCCACAGATGGCTGGGGCCAGGGTCCCTGAATCACTGCATGGAAGAGAGGCACCTGCTGATCAAGCCATGTTCATTTTGGATTGTATGTGGGTGGAAAGAAAAAAACTTGTCTTTGAGCCATGACACATTTTGGGGTGTTTCTATTATGCTTAAAACAGCTAGTCTTTCTGTAATACGAACCCCAAAGAGGGGTCTTCTCTGACCATCAATGTCAAATATCTTGCCCCTGTCCATCATTCCCTGCCCCTTTATGTTGTTTCTTATCCTAGCTTCATAGTTTGTAACTTGTTTATTCATTTTAATACATTGATTTTGGAACGTTTTCCCCTCTAGATGGCAACCTTCTTTGATACACAAACTGTATATCTTGTTTGTCACTGCATTTCCCTAACATGCCCAACACGAGCTCAATAAACGTTTATTGCATGAAGGAATCAAGATCTGAATTTCAGCCTGGTCGCCAGTGGTGCTTGTCCATTCTGTTAGACTCTCCACTGCACTCCTGCCATTTCATATAATATGCCTTTAGTCACAGTCCCTTCACTGATGGCCTCAGAGCTATTTGAAACCTGTGCACATTCTGGTTAAACCTTTCATCACAGTATTTGGTGATGCTGCAATGAATGCGGAATGCTGGTCTGTCCCCCACAGACTGAGTCTTTCTAGGGTGTATTGGCATTCCTAGTGTCTAACAGGTAGTAGGCTGGCAAATGAATCAATGAGCCGGTGAATTAATGAATTTATCTCAAGAATTTGAGACTGATCCTATCTCAATTCAGAGGCAGAGCACAGAATGCAACATCATCAAAGATTGACACGTTCCTTGTCTAGACAAGTGCTGCGAGTCACCACAGCCTGCGCGTAGTCTGGTTGGGAAAGAGCCCTGGCTGGGCTGCAGGAGATGTGAACTCAGAGCCTGCCCAGCTCACTGTGCTCTGGCAAGCTACATTCTCTTTCCCTGACTCAATTATCTTACCCATAAAACGTGGCATTTGGGCTAAACAATACTGAAACTGTGTTAACCTTACAGTGACATTACTTAAACCCTGGCAGTCAAAGAGAAAGTAGAAAACGATGCTTTATATCTGTGTTGTCTCATTCAGAAGCCACTAACCACATGTGGCTACCTAGCACTTGAAAGGTGGCCCGTCCAAATTCAGATGTGTTGTAAGCACAAAACGCACACTAGACTTCAAAGATTTAGTATAAAAAATGTACATTTCTCGTTAAAAATTTTTATACTGATTTCATGTGGAAATAATATTCTGGATATATTAGGTTAAATGAAATACCCTATTAATCATTTCGCCCATTTCTGTTTACTTTTCTTAAATGTGACTACTAGAAATTCTAAAATTACACATGTGAGTTGCATTTTGGACAGCACCATTCTATGCTATTATTAGTACTGAAATTCAGCTACATACTTCAGACTATAATGCATAAATCATTGATTCTACATCCTTTCCTGAGTTATCCAAACTCATTGTCAAATGAATCCAAAAAAGGTTCACTAAAGTCGATCTAACTACAATGAAACTTCACTATGAATGGATGCCCATGTAGACATTATGCAGTTTTGTTTCATAACCAATGGGTTTTAGGTTAAAACTATTTCTGAGAAACAAAACAATTCCAGCATTGGAAAATGATAAGCCTAAAACAAACTCAGTAGAGACCAGAAAGACATAAAAAGAAAGGGGCCAGGCGTGGTGGCTCACGCCTGTAATCCCAGCACTTTGGGAGGCTGAGGCAAGCGGATCATGAAGTCAGGAGATGGACACCATCCTGGCCAACATGGTGAAACCCTGTCTCTACTAAAAATACAAAAATTATCTGGGCGTGGTGGTGTGTGCCTATAATCCCAGGTACTTGGGAGGCCGAGGCAGGAGAATCACTTGAACCAGGGAGGTGGAGGTTGCAGTGAGCTGAGATCGCACCACCGCACTCCAGCACTCCAGCCTGGTGACAGAGCGAGACAGTGTCTCAGAAAAAAAAAAAAAAGAAAGGATTTCTTTTCTATTATAGATACTGGGTAGCCCTACGTGCTCCTCTAAGCCCCAGATATAATATCTGTGCTATGGGGAAAGCAAAAAGCATATATTTTCTTTGCTTCGTTCATTTTGTTTTTTAAATTTTATTTATTTATTTTTTTGAGATGGAGTCTCAGTCTGTCATCCAAGCTGGAGTGCAGTGAAGCTATCTCAGCTCACTGCAACCTCCACCTCCAGTGTTTAAGTGATTCTCGTGCCTCAGCCTCCTGAGTAGCTAGGATTACAGGAGCCCGCCACCAGGCCTGGCTAATTTTTCTATTTTTAGTAGAGACAAGGTTTCACCATGTTGGCCAGGCTGGTCTCAAACTACTGACCTCAGGTGATCCACCTGCCTCGGCTGTGGAGGAAAAGTTAAATATTAGATTTGAACTCAGTTGAACATGGACATAACCAATGGACACCAAGTCCCAGAACAGGTTGTATGAGCCCTTTGAGGCTTTCATCCAGCACTGTTTCAGAGAAATCTTTATTTCAATCTATTCCTATATGTTAGTTAGTGAAAAACAATAGACAATCACAAGAATAAGTTGACCTTTTTGTGTTCCTTGACCACAGCAATGAAGAGCCCTCGTGACTGGACCTCATGCCAAACAACTCGCTACAAAAAGAGCTAGGTTCCCAGACTGCGCCGAAGCTTCATGAGACCTCTCCTCATCTGTGCACAGAGGAGTGGCCGACTCTGGAGCCCAGGCGGTCGCTTCCCGGTCTGGTGCTGAATCCTCCATAGTCTGGTGAGTGCAAGTATCTTTTCCCTTCTCCCCTTCCCATTGCAATTTGCTTATTATATCACTTGCTTATTATATCGTTTGCTTATTATATGGTTTGCTTATTATATCTGCATTGTCATTTACAGGGATAAAAGTTGTTCACCCTTAAAGGTATTGTGTGTGTGCCTTTTCTTCTCCTCTCACGTGTTTCCAGCACAGAACATCGGCCTCCCAAAGTGCTGGGATTACAGGCATGAGCCACCGCTCCCGGCCTGTTTCATTCATTTTAGAAATGACCAAATTGTGAGCTGAGATGAAGGTTGGGGTCTGGTAGATTTGTAGAAAGGAGAGAGTGATAACAAGTGTGGGTAAAAATAAGTGTCCGTGGAAGAAGTGAGAAATTTGAGGGAAGCAGAGAGAAACCAGGAGAGAGACCTCGGAGGTTGCTTGCAGGGTCAGCAGCGTCAACATCACCTGGGAACTGGATGGAAACACAGATTCTGGGGCCCATCCCAAAGGGTTAATATGGCGGCACTCAGCTGCTATCCAGGACTTTTTCCTGTTCGTGGAGTCTTGGAAGAACACTCCTCTAGGGCTGGGGTTTCCAAGGTGTAGATCTCTCAAAGCTTTTCTTGAGAAATCCTGAAGCCAGTTATCGTCCTCAACTCTACATCAATGTCCCACCTCCATAGATCACCTGGAATTATTAGATTGGTGCAAACGTAATTGCGGTTTTTGCATCGTTGGAATTTGACATTTGATATTGGATACATTCTTAAATAAATGTGGTTATCTTATACATCATTTTAATGGGCATTTCTTGCTTTATGTTTTTTGGCTAATGACTTATTACTTGCTGTTTATTTTATGTTTATTTTAGACTGTGGAAATAATGTTAGACAAAAAGCAAATTCAAGTGCTTTTCTTATCCGAGTTCAAAATGGGTTGTAAAGCAGCGGCGACAACTTGCGACATCAACAATGTATTTGGCCTACTGTACTAAAAAACATATAGTGCAGTGGTGGTTCAAGAAGTTTTGCAAAGACGAGGAGAGCCTTGAAGATGAGGAGTGTCGTGGCCAGCCATCGGAAGTTGACAAAGACCAATTGAGAGCAATCGCAGAAGCTGATCCTCTTACAACTACATGAGAAGTTGCTGATAACTCAACGACAACCATTCTACAGTCATTGGGCATTTGAAGCAAATTGGAAAGATGAAAAAGCTCAGTAAGTGGGTGCCTCATGAGCTGAGCAAAAATCAAAAAAATTATTGTTTCAAAGTGTCATCTTTTCTTATTCTACACAACAGCAAGGAGTCAATTCTTGATCAGATTTGTGACAGGCAAGAAAAGTGGATCTTATATGACAACCAGTGACAACCAGCTCAGTGGCTGGACCAAGAAGAAGCTGCAAAGCACTTCCCAAAGGCAATCTTGCACCAAAACAAGGTCGTGGTCACTGTTTGGTGGTCTACTGCTGGCCTGATCCACTACAGCTCTCTGAATCCCAGTGAAACCATTATATCTGAGAAGGATGCCCAGCAAATCAATGAGATGCGCTGAAAACCTCAATGCCTGCAGCCGGCATTGGCCAACAGAAACAGCCCAATTCTTCCCCAGGACAAAGCCCAACCACATGTCCCACAACCAGTGCTTCAAAAATTGAACAAATTGGACTACAAAGTTTTACCTCATCTGCCATATTCACACGACCTCTCACCTACCAACTACCACTTCTTCAGACACTTTGACAACTTTTTGCAGGGAAAACGCTTCCATAACCAGCAGGATGCAGAAAATGCTTTCCAACAGTTCATCAAATCCCAAAGCATGGATTTTTATGCTACAGGAATAAACAAACTCATTTCTCATTGGCAAAAATGTGTTGATTGTAATGGTCCCTATTTTTATTAATAAAGATGTTTGTGAACCTAGTTATAATGATTTAAAATTCATGGTTCAAAACCGCAATTACTTTTGCACCAACATGGAGGGAAGGTCCTCTATTTTGGCCTCAGGGCCTATTGTCAGCAGAGTCTTCCTCCCACAAACACTACCCATCCTACTCCCTTCCCAGCGACTTCACCACCTTTGTGGAAAAGGCTCATCTGTAGAACTATGAATCTAGTACTTTCCAAATGAGTTACACAGACACTGAAAACAGGTTAGGAGATAACTCATCTCTAGATGTTTTGTGGTTCCTTGGTTTCAATTATCAAAGCACTGAAATGGAAAGGAATAGTCACACCCAGGCAAATTTGCTTTGAAAAGCCACAAGAGTTGTTGTTGCTGACTTAAGTCTCAATCATGCCCTTAATGAAAGTGGAATCTAGACATAAGAGAGGAATAATGCCTTTAGGTTGAAAGTTTCCTCCTCCAGGAAGCCCTCCATCTCAATCAAGTTCTCCAGTTTTAATCTTTCATTACACTTTCCTTTATAACACTTATTGCAACTGGAAAATATGCGTGTACATATAGTTATTTGCTTAATTTCAGTTCTTTCACTCAACCGTATGGTCTGTGGAGGTAAAAACCTTTTGTATCTTTTTCACCTCTGTATCCTTGGGACCTGCCAGTGTGCAGTGCCTATTGGACACTTAGGAAATATTTGCTGGAGGGATAAGTATCTAAGAAGTACTTTGTAATTATGAAATAACTCTGAGACTTTGTACTTCCATATCTTTCCGAAAAGAAAACTGGGTCTGTAGAAGAGTTGTGGCCAAGAGCAGCAAACAGGCCAGTGAAGGGGTCAGGGCCCTGAGAGCTTTGGGCTCATTTTATCCATGACAGCTCTCAACATGGCTCAAAAAGCCCGAGGGCCAACATTCACCTGGCATGAAAGGGAAGGAAAGTGATTCTGAGGGAAGAAACCTTCTAGGTGTGGCTGACCCATAACCAACAAGGAGATGAGAAAAAACTATAGAAGTTGAATTTTTTTTAAAGGCTAGTGTTTATAGTGAGATTTTCCAAAGATAAATTAAGGAACTGATGTGTTCCTGAACTAGGTCTAACCAGGGTCAATTCCCAAAAGAGTCTCTTAAGTATTTATTTGATCTCATTTCCACAGTTGAGTGGACAACTCTTGCCCATCACTCTTCCTTCTATGCAGTGTTGCTAATGATTCCTCCTACTCCACTTCTTCAAGAACCTTCTCAACAGAAGACGCCAGAGGAGGGGGCCTAAGAAGATACATAGCAGGAAGTCCCCAGCAAACCATTTATCTATTTTCTCCACAGATCTACAATCCCAAATTGTTCAGCTGGAAACACTAGTAGGCTACGTCGCTTGCCCTAAATAAGCTTTGCAGAAATGAACAGATGGAGGAAAATTTCAAAGCAGCATGTGGGCGTTTCAGGCCCAAATCCCATTAACAGATAACAGGATTTATAACAGCAGTTCCCACGCAAAGCTTTGGAAATTTTGAATTTGTGTGTAATAGATTGGGCTCCCTCTCCCCTAAATTATCTGCACGTTGTTCCTGCATCTGGGCAGGGCCCCTTTCTCCAAGCTAAGGAGCCCACATTGTCAGCTAAGAAGTGTGTGTGGTGGCTCACACCTGTACTCCCAGCACTTTGGGAGGTCAAGACAGGCCGATCACTTGAGGTCAGCAGTTCAAGACCAGCCTGGCCAACATGGTGAAACCCCATCTCTACTAAAAATACAAAAATTAGCCGGGTGTGGTGGCGCACACCTGTAATCCTAGCTACCCAGGAGGCTGAGGCAGGAGAATTGCTTGAACCTGGGAGGAGGCGGAGGTTGCAATGAGCTGAGAAGGTGCCACTGTACTCCAGCCTGGGCGACAGAGTGAGACTCTGCCTCCAAAAAAAAAAAAAAAGAAGCAGGAATGGGGCACAGGCCCACAGGTGGCAGCACCAAGTGGTCTTGTTTATATTTCTTTTTTTTTTTTTTTTTGAGGAGTCTTGCTCTGCAATGGCGCAATCTCGGCTCATGGCAACCTCTGCCTCCCAGGTTCCAGTGATTCTCCTGCCTCAGCCTCCCGAGTAGCTGGGACTACAGGTGCGTGCCACCACACCTGGCTACTTTTTAAATTTTTTTTTGTATTTTTAGTAGAGACGGGGTTTCACCATGTTAGCCAGGATGGTCTCGATCTCCTGACCTCATGATCCGCCCATCTCGGCCTCCCAAATATATTGCTTCTTAATTCTCTCCTTCTCCCACAGAAGAGTTGCGACAAGTTCTGGAAGGGTGGTGGATGGGTTGTGGCAAACTGGAATTTTGATTCAAAGCAAAGACAACTAGATTCATTGCTGTCAGGAACCCAAAGCACATGGCTGCCTGTCTCAACAAAACAAGAGAACCTAGACCCCAAGTTAATGTCAGCAAATTGGGATGCACCTCCTGGCACTATCACAAAGGTATTGACACAGTGACTGAAACAGGGGGATCCCTCAGAAGCAGTCTGGAAAGAACTTCTCATAGCTACTCAGAAGTAGATGTAAGAAACTCCAAGCATTCCTTGATGAGATGGGGAAGATTTGTGGGTTGGACTCCCACAGGGAGCTATTGACTGGATGCCATTGTTAGTGAGATCCATAGTTGCTTTATGTTCCCCTTCAGTATGATAGGGGTGTGAAAACCCGAATTACCCTATTAGGACTAGAGTAGAAAGGAAAGTTCTTAATAAGGTCATTGACTACCCTGAAACTGTTTTAACACTTAAGGATAAAAATCCGTAAACAGCAGCAGCTCAAGGTTGAAGAAAGTCTGTAAGTTTTCCCCCGCTCCAGCAACTGACCTGGGTGCAGGTCTCCTAGTTTCATGCATGTCCCATTGAATCACTGTCCTCCAGAAATGCAGAGACACATGAAACAGCTTTATGACCAATTCAAGTGGCCACAGAATACAGTATCAGTGAGTTGGGGTCCCAGGCACATCTTATAACCCAGGCAAAATAGCATCCACACTATCCAGTGATATGCAAATACTTCCAACCTATTTCTGCTTTGACTTCCACAAGGAAGCCTTCCTGACTTCCCTGGCTCCCTCTCAAATGCGCCCATGACATCCAGTTCTTCTTTACTGCATTTCCCCTGCCTGTCATTAGGCATGTAATGAGTTTCCATTACATGCTTAATGTCTGTCTTCTTTGCTAGATTGTGAGAGTGGAAAACATGTCTATTTGTCTCACCATTTTAACCCCAGAGCTTAGAAAGTATATGTTAACTAACTCCTGACTAATGGCCTAGAATACTTCGGGCATTATTTAATAAACAAAGAACTGAGTGAATAAATGACTGAATCGGTTAATCAATAGCATTCAATAAGGTGGGGGGGATTTTATAACATTCCTTCAAATAGGGGAGCATACGGCATGAAGAGTTATAACACAAAGTGCTAGTCATATACCATAAGATCAAAATCACTATTAAGAGTACTTGGTTGGGCTGGATAGGGACGTTGACCTTCAAAAGATTCAGTGAGAACCCTTGGTTGAAGGAGATAAACTAAAACCTCAACTTCAATGGTTATCAGATGCACATTTCTCCAATCTGGTGTATTTCCAGCCACACCCAGGCAAGCAAGGAGTATCTTGATATATCTGCTTTACTAAACCAGATCCCCTAAGAAAATTATGGTATCATTTATAGAGATGATCACTTTTGGGTAACCAGATAGGCATTATTCAAGAACTCAGAATGTACACTCAAAATCACGTACATGACACTGAATCCTAGAGGATTCAGTACCACAGGAATCCTAGAGGAGTCTTTGCTCACTTTACCCACTTCTCTTGAACATATACATATACATATACACTATTTACTAGGCTATATTTATGCTGACTATCTAGAACATGGTAGTCCTAAGTGTGTCAGGTGATTATAGAAAATGCCCTATATTCATTACATAACTTTGGCTGCCTACTTTTATTTATGTGAAATGAATCAGACTCCTAGTTGAATACAGATGGACTAATGGCCCACCACATATATTAATCTTATTGAGTTCAGTGAGGCTTTTGTGTCTGATTTAAGAGGGAGTATATGCATTTTCTCAGTCCCTGAAATCTGATCAACAGCAGTCATAAGACCAGATATCAAAGTGTTGGGTTCTGGAAGTATAGCATGCTCATGTAAGCTTAAGAACAAAGTTTGACAGACCTCATTTTAGACTATGTGAGCTTTCTGGTTGTGATGGTTAATTTTTTGTGTCAACTTGACTGGGCCAAGGGATGCCCAGATAGCTGGTAAAATTATTATTATTATTTCTGCATGTATGTTTTCAGAAGAGGTTAGCATTTGAATTGGCAGGCTGAGTAAAGATCACCTCACCAATGTGACAAGCGTCATCCAATCTATTGAGGCCAGAAGAGAATTTTAAAAATGGAGGAAGGACAAATTTGCTTTTTTTTTTTTTTTTAAGAGATGAGGTCTTGCTTTGTTGCCCAGGCAGGCTGGTCTGGAACCACCGGCCTCAAGTGATCCTCCTGCCTCGGATTCCCAAAGTGCTGGGATTATAAGTGTGAGCCACTGTGCCCAGCCATCTCTCAAGCTGAATGAGACATGCATCTTCTCCTGCCCACAGACATTAGAGCTCCTGGTTCTTTGGCCTTTGGACTCTGAAATACAACATGAGTGGCCTCCAGTTTCTTAGGTCTTTGGACTCAGACTGACAGTTGCACCATTGGCTGCCCTGGTTCTCAAGTCTTCAGACTCGGACTGAATCACCCCATCAGCTCCTCCGGGTCTTCAGTTTGAAGACGGCATATCATGGGACTTTGTGGCCTCCATCATTATGTGAAGGAACTCCCATAATCAATCTATCTATCTATCTATCTCTCTATCTATCTATCTATCTATCTATCTATCTATCTATCTATCTCCTTCTCCCCTGCCCCTTTTCCCCACACCCAAAGGTGTCTTCCTTTGGCTGAAGGTTGTTGTACAATTGTATTCTATTGACCACCAAATATGAGCACTGCTTAATTTAACTTTTCTCAATTTTTTGAGATTAGGAAGTGCTTAGTCCTGCACTTTGAGTTTCTGTTTTTGTTTTTTCTGAGATGAAGTCTCACTCTGTTGTCCAGGCTGAAGGGCAGTGTTGAGATCTCAGCTCATTGCAACCTCTGCCTCCCAGGTTCAAGCCATTCTCGTGCCTCAGCCTCCTGAGTAGCTGGGATTACAGGCACGTGGCACCACTCCCGGATCAGTTTTGTATTTTTAGTAGAAATGAAGTTTCACCATGTTGGCCAGGCTGGCCTCAAACTCCTGACCTCAAGTGATCCACCCACCTTTGCCTCCCGAAGTGTTAGGATTAGAGCGTGAGCTACTGCACCCAACCACTTTGAGTTCTTGAACTCATTTTACAAACAAAGTTTATTTTATTTCAAGATTTGACCCTATCAAAGCCATTATAACCTTATTTTTTCTAGTTTTTACTAAGACTACTATAATATGATTCTAAGTTTATCATTTTTTATTTTCACAGGGGTCAACCAATCTTAATTTGGGAAAATAAAGGAAACACAGTAATATTTATACTCCAAGGGCTATAGGACTATTTATGGCTCTTATTTTTAATATAGGTACAATATTGTCTTTTTAATGACTTAACCCTCTTAGCATGACTTTGTGGAAAGCTCTTGTATTTTCATATGGTGTTATGAGAGCTGAGACAAGGGACCGTGGACTATGAAATGCTTTGTTGGAATGGGAGGAGTAGGGAGAGGGCGAATGTATTAGGCTATGCGTTTAACATGCCCCTGGACCTTACTCAATGCACTGCTGTGCTATAAGGTACAGGCTGGGTTGTTCCCTGTCTCTCTATGAGAGCAGAATTCTAAACATGACTTTGTTCCTATCACTATTAGGTTGGTGCCATTACTTCTAGTGGCAAAAACTGCAATTACTTTTGCACCAACCTAATATCATCTACGATGTCTAGATTTTCCATCATTCTGTTCCTTAACAGTGCCATGCCTAGGAAAATGGGTACAGTGAGCCCCCCTTTCTTTACTCTCCCCATCTCTGACAGCCCCACAGCCCCTCTCCTGATTCATCCCACCAATTGTTCAGTGCCTTATTCTTTCACTTTTTTTTTTTTTTTTTTTTTTTTTTTTTTGAGACTGAGCCTTGCTTGCTCTGTCACGCAGGCTGGAGTGCAATGGCATGATCTCGGCTCACTGCAATCTCCGCTTCCTGGGTTCAAGCAATTCTCCCTCTCTCAGCCTCCCAAGTAGCTGCATTTACAGGTGCCTGCCATCATGCCTGGCTAATTTTTGTATTTTTAGTAGTGTTGGAGTTTCACTGTGTTGGCCAGGCTGGTCTCAAACTCCTGACCTCAGGTGATCCGCCCTCCTCGGCCTCCCAAAGCGCTGGAATTACAGGAATGTACGCAGCCCTTTCTTTCACTTTTTGAGCTCTCCAACAAAATCTAACCTCAGGAAGTGATCTGACAAACTCATGCACATTTAGGCATTTATGTCTGAAAAGAGACCAATTGGCGACCCCTTCCAGGAACACCTGCTTGCCAATAAAATAACACGTTTAAGCCAGAAGAATTATTTTCTGTTGGCAAAATTTCAGGACTCATTGACCTAGTGGCCATGAGGGGAATCACACTTTAGGAGGCCCCATATTCTACGGCCTTTCTGTTGAATGCCTGGTATCCATTTCCCCCACCACTCCAGGTCACAGTTTTATTAGTTGTTTCTGCTCTGAAATTCCCTCTCTGATCCAGAGCACACCAACTTCTGGTATCATAAGAAGAATAGGGTGTAAAAGTCAGCTCCAAACATTTCTGGGACTCTAATTACAGTACAGTCAGGCCCAGAACTGATGGTATCCATGGTCCATCTAATTCTGGAAAGGAGTTAAAGGCCTGGGTCTGGGGGAAATTGTGACTGTAAAAAGAAAAGCATCAGAAGCTCACAAAATGCGATTGTCATCTTAAAGGTTAGGGGCCAAATAAATTAAGACATCTCATGGGGAGTTGTAATCCCCGTCAATATGACAGTGATTAAAAAAATGGCTGCTACTAACCACATGCAGCGTGGTTTAAATCTGACTCATCTGCTAGGCATCCCATCCTAATCAAAAGCTATTCAGGGGCTGGAAGGCAACCATCAAGCTCCAGCAGCAACGTGCCAGGGCCCACAGCTGCACAGCTGAAAATGTCACGCCAGGGGCTGGCTGCCTCCCTTGCCCTGAACATTGCATCCCGCCTGCTGAGTGGGGGCTGGCGGAGCGGCCCAGCCAGCTGTGTCTGATGTCGCAGTTGTCCATGGGTTTCACCTTCCTTTTTCCTTGACCCATGGAGTTTGGGGAAAAAAAAAAAAAAAAAAAAAGCTGCAAAGTCAAACAATGAAGAGACCAGAGAATTGAAGTCCATTTCCTTCCCAAACCAAATAATGTCCTCTCCTGCAGGGATTCTAGCAAACCTTCTGGTTCATTTTTCTCAAGGTGTGCAATTGAACCTTCTTTTCTCTATCTAAGGCATTAAGTCAAGGTTGCTCTGTTTATTAGTACTCGGAAGCAGGTACTATAAAGAAGAGAAAATCAGTGGTGAAACAAAGGGAGTATATTTAATTTTTAAAATTTTAAAACAAACCATCTTTGAGGGCAATTGCATTCCTTAAGAACATGGGAATTCAAAGTGGCCCCTAGCCTCTGCATGTCTAGAATTTCATAATTAGGAAAGGGGGGTTCTGAAGAAAGCATCAATGATGTATTGAGCACCTAGCATGCCCAAGAGACCAGCGCAGGTCTTACGTCTATAAACAGAGACTTGAGGTGCCCTGAGATTTACTCAAAATCACAGAGTTAATCACTTGTATCACTAGGTTTACAACCTAGGTTCTCTTACTCTCTTTTCAGGATTTTCTACCATATCACGTTGGCTTTTCCAAGAATTTTTAGATCTGGCAAAAAGGAAAAGAAATACAAAAAAATAAAAACTAATGCATAGTATTACATAAAATATGCCTCGTGGTCTCAGAAAGACATACTTCGGGTGTTCGTACTTATTTGTGGAAACTTCAAATTAAAACAGTTGAACTCATGGAGATAGAGAGAATGATGGTTACCAGAGGCTGGGAAGGTTAGTGAGGTGGTGGGATAGTAGGTGGAGCATGGTTAATAGGTACAAATAAATAGTTAGAAATAATGAGTAATATCTAGTATTTGATAGAACAATAGGGTAACTATAGTCAATATGAATTTAATTGTACTTTTTTTTTTTTTGAGACAGAGTCTCACTCTGTTGTCACGCTGGAGTGCAGTGGTGCAATCTCAGCTCACTGCAACCTGTGCCTCCTGGTTCAAGCAATTCTCATACCTCAGCCTCCCGAGTAGCTGGGACTACAAGTCCCCGCCACCATGCCCAGCTAATTTTTTTTGTATTTTTAGTAGAGACAGGGTTTCACCATGTTGGCCGGGATGGTCTTGACCTCCTGACCTCATGATCCACCCGCCTCAGCCTCCCAAAGTGCTGGGATTAGAGGCACCAGCCACCACGTCCGGCCAATTTTTCATTTTTAAATAGCTAAAAGAGTATAATTGGATTGTTTATAATACAAAGGATAAATGCCTGAGGCTATGGATCTCCATTCACCCTGATATGATTATTATGCATTGCATGACTGTATCCAAATATCTCAGGTATCCCAGAAATATATACACTGTGTACCCACAAAATTAATAGTAAAAATATTGAAAAATAAAATATGCTCCATGAACAGTATGGTTAATAAAAACCAAAGAAAGTCACTAGAAAACAAAAAGTTGGTGAGAGGCTAAAATGGTGGGAGAAGAATTCAAAGAGGATATAGGACATAACTTGTAGCTTGAGAATATATGGACTAAGTAGAGTGGACAAGAAGAAGTAGATAATTCCAGTATATAAGAATATGATTACAGTGGTTTTGAGGGGGAAAGAAATGGTTTGGGTCATTCTGGTTGTAAAAGGCAACTTGCAGGAGAATAACGTGAGAAATCAAACAGAAGTCAGATAATAGAGGCTAGAAATGTAGATTTCACCGTGTAGAAAATGGGAAGTCACAAAGTGTTTTGTATGGGAGAAATGCATAGAAACTTTCAGGTTGGGAGTGGAGACTCATGTCCATAATTCCAGCACTTTGGGAGGCCAAGGCAGGAGGATCGCTTAAGCCCAGAAGTTTGAGACCAGCCTGGGCAATATAGTGAGATCCCATCTCTACAAAACTTCATTGGCGTGGTAGCACATGCCTGTAGTCCTAGCTACTTGAAAGGCTGAGGTGGACAAAACTTCGTTGGCGTGCTAGCACATGCCTGTAGTCCTAGCTACTTGAAAGCCTGAGGTGGGAGGATCGCTCGAGCCCAGGAAGTTGAAATCCATTGAAAGCCTCATTATTCTTCTCTAGAAACTCCATGATTCTATGGCCTGTGAAACAAAATTAGGGTAGAGAAAGGACTAGAAGTGTGGCTAGCACCTGGACATTCCCTCCTTAAATCTAGCACAAGGTGATGAGGTTGTGAGCTAAGGTGGAGGTGGTGGAAAGGAAAGGAAGGGTTGAGTGACAAAGTGCATTGAGAAAAGACAGTCATCAGGTTTGGTAAGGCTAAACATGGATCATATCTATCGGTCGGGTGGTTGATATTACCATTGCCCTCATTCCAGTCTCTGCCTTGCCACTAATTATCTAGTGCGACTTTGAATTAGTCCATTGAGCTCCAAGAAAAGGTTTTATGAGTCATCAGTAATCATTGAGATTCATGCATTTTTTAAATTCCATTAAATTTCCTAGGAGCAACATCTCTTCACCCACAACATCTTCACTTAGCTAAACATGAAATTGTCTTGGTTGAAATGAGAAAATTAAAGTTATTATTAATAACTATTAGCATCTATAATTGGAGGCACTCTCTTACATTTCACAATCTAATCAATTGCTATGTTCCTCTCTTCAGTCCATCAGCATCTCCTGGTCCCTCCTCCTTTCTCACCAGCCTCAACTCCATGGCTGATCATCTGAGCTTCTCTGCAGTCTTGCACCCAATTCTCTTGCACCTAGTTCCTCCTGTCCACTTACCTACCAAGACCTCATTCTTACATTAGTACTATGTTCTACCTTCTCTGCTTCTGAACACAAAAGAAAGAAAGCTTATAATAGGGAAAATTGCATAGTGTGTCTACAAAGTCCTAGTCTACATCTGAAAAGGATTCTTAGTCTTTTACTCACTGCTGGCCAGCTCCCTTTTCCCTCAATGACAATTCCAAACTATCTCTCTTCCACTAACAAACTTGACAATGTCCACTGCCATCTTCCTCCTGAAACTGTCCATTTCTGTGATGTTGCCTCTCCTGGTTCTGCCAGACTCTCCTCTCCATCTATGGCTCCTCTGTCTGCACTAGCTCCAAAATTTGGTGTTTTGTCCTCAACTCGTTACCCCTGTCTTGAATGAGCTCATAATCCCATTGTTTTAAATACCACATAGATATTGTGTTGGGCAGAACAGGGTCCCCTCCCAAAAATCTGTGTCCTTCCTGGAGCCTCAGAACGTGAACTGATTTGTAAATGGGGTCTCTCAAGATATAATTCGTTATGGTGAGGTCATGTGGAATAGCATGGGCCCTAATCCAGTATGACTAGAGTCTCCATAAGAGGAGAAGAGACACAGGGACAGACATGGGGAGAATGCCTTTTGAAGATAGCGGCAGAGATGGGAGTGATAGGTCTACAAGCTAGTGGACTCCAAGGACTGTGGGCAGCCATCAGAAGCCAGGAGGGAAACATGGAGCAGATTCTCCCTAGAGCTTCCTGTGGGAACCAACTCTGATGACACCTTGATTTCAGACTTCTGGCCTCCAGAAACAGTGACAGAATAAATTTCTATTGCTTTAAGTAACCCAGTCTATGGTTCTCCGTAATAGCAGCCACTGGAAACCAATACACATGCTGATGACTTGCAAATAGATACCACCAGCTTCGCCTCCTCCCCAAGCCCCAAACTCATGTTTCCAATTCCTGTTTCCACCTGGCCTGTCTTCCTGGATTTCCTCACTGAGGACCGCAGCAGAAATCGTGCTCTTCCCTTCAAACTCCGCTCCTCCCTGTACTTACCACCACTCTTCTATGCTGGAGATATAGAAGGCATTTTTTGGTCTCTCCTCTCTCACAATCCCAGTAACTAAGTCCAGGTCTTGATCCTCTGTTGACTGAGTTTCTGCAAAATCTTCCTTCACTGATCTCCTGCTCGATTTCCACCCTCCAGTCTCTTCTACACAACCAAGAGTGTGTCTTCTAAAAGGCAAATCTCTCTATAAATGCTTAAAATACTTACAAACACTGAAAGGTTTTCTATCCATTAAGAGCCATGCTCTGTGCTTAGCATGGTGTACAGGGCTCCCAGAATCTGCCCTGCCCAGCTCTGTGGACTCATCACACAGTCCCTCCTCCCTCTCCATGCTCAGAGAATCCTGTGTTGCCTCCAGGACCCCATATTTGTTGATTGCCCCCATGCCTGTGCTCCTGTGGCCAGTCTTCTTTTCCTCTTCCTATCCCCTCCCTCCATAGCATCTTTCATGTATGACTTGACTTATTCTTTCAGATCTGACTCAGTGTCACCTCCCTCAGGAAGCCTGCCCTGATACACCACTCACCCCCTCTCTCCCTGCACCCCAACCCTAAGCACGTTGCATGCTTCCTCTCTGCACTTCTAATCCTTTGAGAATAGCTCAAGGTTCATACTCACCATATTGTATTGTATCTTTTTTTAAATTTTAAATAAAAACTTTACTTAAATTCTGGTATACATGTGCAGAACGTGCAGGTTTGTTACATAGGTATACATGTGCCATGGTGGTTTGCTGCACCCATCAACCCATCATGCACTAGGTATTTGTCATAATGCTCTCCTTCCCCTTGTCCCCAACCCCCCGACAGGCCCCAGTGTATGATATTCCCCTCTCTGTGTCCATGTGTTCTCACTGTTCAACTCCCACTTATGAGTGAGAACATGCAGTGTTTGGTTTTCTGTTCCTGTGTTAGTTTGCTGAGAATAATGGTTTCCATCTTCATCCATGTCCCTGCAAAGAACATGAACTTGTTCTTTTTATGGCTGCATAGTATTCCATGGTGTCTATGTGCCACATTTCCTTTATCCGTTCTGCCATTGATGGGCATTTGGGTTGGTTTCAAGTTTTTGATCAACATATGTGTTCCTCCCTAGACTATTGGCTTTATGAGGACAGGAAAAATGTCCTGGCATGTAGTATATGGTAGCACCAGGGACACCACAGGCTCTCGATCAGTGTTTGTTGAATGAATGAATGAATGAATGGAGAATGAATGAATGAGGGTCTACCTTCTTTACCAGTCACAATCCATGTTTCTTTTTGATCCGTTGAATGATAACTCTTTCTAGTCTCATTTATCTCTTTCTACCACTTGTGCCCCTCTACGTACCAGAGAATAGGGCAGCTTAGGAAAAAGTTCAACCAAAGCCAAATCGATGGCTTTAATTCCTTCTACTTTTGTTCCATTTCCAATACCCACCTCTCATCTCCATAATGGCCAGCTGAGATGTGTTAAACGGTGGCCCCGAGAAAGATTTGTCCATGTCTTAGAACTGTGAATGTGACCTCATTTGGAAAAAAACATCTTTGCAGATATAACTAAGTTAAGGACCTCAGGAGGAGATCAGAGATGAGATCCTGCGTTATCTGGGTGGGTCCTAAATCCAATGATAAGTGTCCTCACAAGAGAGACACAGGGGAGAGACACATGGAGAAGTGGGGAAGGTCACATGGAGATGGGGACAGAGGGTGGGCTGATGAGGGAATAAGACAAGAAGCTGGAGGAGGCAAAGAACCATCCTCCTCTTGACTCTTTGGAGGGGCCATGGCCCAGGTGACACCTTGACTTTGGACTTTTTGCCTCCCAAACTGTGCAAGAATAAATATCTATTGTTTAAACCCACCAATTTGGGGGTAATTTGTTACAACAGGCCTAAAAGATAAATACCCTGGCTCTCTTAGAACTGCATGCCATTGCCTGCAAGAAACCACCATTAAGGACCTAGGAAATCTCTGAGTGTCTCTATTCCTGGATAAACAATTCTGAGCAAACATTGGGTCAATAATAAAAATAGGTAATTTTTATTAGTACAACAACAAGAATAGTTTAGGTGTACTGAGCTCTTACCAAGTGCCAGGTAGAGTCCTAATCATTTCACATCTAGTAACTCATTAATCCTCCTGACAACCCTAAGAGACCATTACTGCTATTATCTCCATTTTGCAAACAAGCAAACTGAGCTAGGAGAGGTTTTATCACTTTCCCAGGCTCTCACAGAAACGAGCAGCAGGTACCACTCAGCCACGTCTTCGCATAAGGCACAGTTGAGCGCAGAAGAGTAAGCACCCGCTCTGAGCCTGAGGCCCTGATGCTAGTTCCAGATGTCCTTGGGCGGGTTGCCTGACCTCTCTGAGCTGGACTGAAGCTCTGGCTCATCTCCCCAGTTCTGTCATTCTGGGGTCTCTCAAATCTGTCCTAGCTCTAGACTGCCATGATTTGCAAACCAGGTTATTCCTATTAATGGTGGCTTTCTTTTACATTCGCACAGCGCTCTCCTGCCAGAATCTAGACACCTGGTCTGCTTTGCCATTCAGTCAGGGAAAATAACCAGAAATGCAACAGAATCAGCAGATTCCCAGAGCCATACTGAGGGGTGGTGAGGAATGTGCCTCATATTTTAAAATGTCCTCTTCCTCCTGCAGCCAGGCCTCACTGACAAA